>NC_000002.12:153853254-154156284 GCF_000001405.40 Homo sapiens | reverse complement strand
AAAATGTGAATTTTACTTAAGAATTTATATGGTGAAATTCAACGCCATTTTATATAGTATGATGATAAAACAATCACATTCTATTTGATCTTTCCATTTCTATTTGAAGATAGAACACTATCTTAGAAAATTAACTATCTGGTCAAATATAACCAGAAAGTCTCCTATGACATTTTAGTGAAAATGTCTCTATCTGTATCTACAGTATAACTCACAAATAAAAGACATAAAAAATAATAGAAAGAATGCTTTATGTTAGGGAAAAAATAAAATAAGACACTATAAATGCAATACATAAATATACGTCGAATATATATGTATTATGCAATACATAAATATATGTAGAAAATATATTTGTCCATATATAGTTTTATCCTAAAAGTATAACCATTAATATGCTCCATTTATTTCAAGTTGGACTTGGAATGTAACAAAATGCAACTTATTTTGGGCCTTGTTTTCAATATTCTTAATGAACAAAATTACATAGCAACATTAAATATTAAAATTCAAAGTCCAAATATAAATTTTCTAATTTAAACAGCAATTACCATACAGAAAGTATACTGGCTTCTACAGGGAGACTTTGCAAGCTGATGAGAATATTAATTATAATATACAATGAGAATTTTTAGACAGATGCTAACATCTCTCATGTCAACAAAACTATGTCTTACTATCATGAGTTAAGCTATTTAACTATAAAATCACATTTTCCCTCAGCAAAATACTATTGTAAGCTGGCATTAGAACAATTTACCCTTCCCTTAAGAAACTGGTATGTGCACAGAAAACATCTGGGGCAAAAAATAGTGAGAAGTAATTTAATACAGAAGTCAAATATTCCTCCACATAGGATTTTTCTAGCAATAACAAAACTATCTGCTTTCTTAAATTGAATCAATCTGCAAATGTTTACTAAAACAAATCTTTGCTTTTTAAATTAGATTTCTTCCATGAGACGAATAAAAAAATACACATTTTAACCACAAAGACTGACTTTCAAATGGCTGTTTTTAAAAATTATATTTTGCACAATTATTTTAATAATATACAGATAAAGGCAGCATTGATTTCATAAAGATGAAATAGAAGTGAGAATATTAATTGAATTTCTGATCTCTGGTACACATCTTTTATTTTCAAGTTGAGAATTACTATAGCTTTCATAAGCTGGTAAAAAATCTTGCCTCTGAAGATAACAATAATAGTTTCCATAATATTTTGATTTATCTAATGTTCTTATGTGCAAAATTAATTCTACTATCCATATTAAAAGTGGCATTTATGTGTTTCTCTTTGTATATGTATGTTTATACACACACACACACACACACACACACACACACAAACATAAACAATCAGCAAAACCACAAATCTCCTAGTCACCCAATTTGAAACATTAAAGTCATATTTTGACTTCCCTTATATCTAGTAAGTCACCTATTCTGGAAAATCAGTTGAAAATATACTTAGGATAATTTTTACTTACAGTTCCTTTCTGTCTTTCCTATAAATGCACATACACAAATACTTACACATACAAATAAAGTTGAAAATTCAACCGCATGCCATCCCTCCTGAAGCTATCTTAAGTTTGGTGTTTTTCCTTTCTCTTCATTTTAATTAATTACTACATATTGCTTTATGTTTCTTAGGCCATTGTCCTGGACAAGTTCCTTATCCAATCAGATCTATGTGACTATAATAGTCAATAGGGAATCTTATTAAATTCAGGCTTCTCTTATCTATAATACCTTTTATATAATACTGCAAGAATAACGCTTCCTAAATATCATTTCCATCACATCATGTTTTTGTTCTAAAATCTCCTTGTTGACTATTATCACATGTCTAAATAAAATTGTTTTTAAGATTCTTCATCATCCTCTGCAGGCCAATGAGCTTGGATGGATAGTTAACAACTTTCTAATTGAGTTGTTTTCTCCTCTCACAGGCCTCACATACCTTCTGTCTGAACTGTATCATCATTTTCCATTCCTTGGTTATCCAAACCTTCTGCATTTTAAAAATTACTTTTTCTTTATTAAATTTTCTTATTTTTTTGGAAAAAACTATCAGATTTAATTGCTGTGAACTCTAATTTTTGCTGAGGTTTAAATAATTGAGTATTTCTGCCTTAAGTCACATGGAACAAAAATATAGGGAACAAAACAAAATATTAGAAATATAAGAACACACTGAAGCAGCCAAGATGGCCGAATAGGAACAGCTCTGGTCTACAGCTCCCAGCGTGAGCAACACAGAAGATGGGTGATTTCTGCATTTCCATCTGAGGTACCGGGTTCATCTCACTAGGGAGTGCCAGACAATGGACGCAGGACAGTGGGTGCAGCGCATCCTGCGTGAGCCGAAGCAGGGCAAGGCATTGCCTCACTCGGGAAGCGCAAGGGGTCAGGGAGTTCCCTTTCCTAGTCAAAGAAAGGGGTGACAGATGGCACCTGGAAAATCGGGTCACTCCCGCCCTAATACTGCGCTTTTCCAATGGGCTTAAAAAACGGCACACCAGGAGATTATATCCTGCACCTGGCTCGGAGGGTTCTATGCCCATGGAGTCTCGCTGATTGCTAGCACAGCAGTCTGAGATCAAACTGCAAAGTGGCAGCCAGGCTGGGAGAGGGGCGCCCGCCATTGCCCAGGCTTGCTTAGGTAAACAAAGCAGCCAGGAAGCTCGAAATGGGTGGAGCCCACCACAGCTCAAGGAGGCCTGCCTGCCTCTGTAGGCTCCACCTCTGGGGGCTGGGCACAGACAAACAAAAAGACACCAGTAAACTCTGCAGACTTAAATGTCCCTGTCTGACAGCTTTGAAGAGAGCAGTGGCTCTCTCAGCATGCAGCTAGAGATCTGAGAATGGGCAGACTGCCTCCTCAAGTGGGTCCCTGACCCCTGACCCCCGAGCAGCCTAACTGGGAGGCACCCCCCAGTAGGGGCAGACTGACACCTCACATGGCCAGGTACTCCTCTGAGACACTTCCAGAGGAATGATCAGACAGCAGCATTCGCGGTTCATGAAAATCCACTGTTCTGCAGCCATCGCTGCTGTTACCCAGGCAAAGAGGGTCTGGAGTGGACCTCTAGCAAACTCCAACAGACCTGCAGCTAAGGGTCCTATCTGTTAGAAGGAAAACTAACAAACAGAAAGGACATCCACACCAAAAACCCATCTGTACGTCACCATCATCAAAGACCAGAAGTAGATAAAACCACAAAGATGGGGAAAAAACAGAGCAGAAAAACTGGAAACTCTAAAAAGCAGAGCGCCTCTCCTCCTCCAAAGGAACGCAGCTCCTCACCAGCAATGGAACAAAGCTGGACGGAGAATGACTTTGATGAGTTGAGAGAAGAAGGCTTCAGACGATCAAACTACTCCAACCTACAGGAGGAAATTCAAACCAAAGGCAAAGAAGTTGAAAACTTTGAAAAAAATTTAGACAAATGTAGAACTAGAATAACCAATACAGAGAAGTGCTTAAATGAGCTGATGGAGCTGAAAGCCAAGGCTCCAGAACTACATGAAGAATGCAGAAGTGTCAGGAGCCGATGCGATCAACTGGAAGAAAGAGTATCAGTGATGGAAGATGAAATGAATGAAATGAAGCGAGAGGGGAAGTTTAGAGAAAAAAGAATAAAAAGAAATGAACAAAGCCTCCAAGAAATATGGGACTATGTGAAAAGACCAAACCTACGTTTGATTGGTGTACCTGAAAGTGACGGGGTGAATGGAACCAAGTTGGAAAACACTCTGCAGGATATTATCCAGGAGAACTTCCCCAATCTAGCAAGGCAGGCCAACATTTGGATTCAGGAAATACAGAGAACGCCACAAAGATACTCCTCAAGAAGAGCTACTCCAAGACACATAATTGTCAGATTCACCAAAGCTGAAATGAAGGAAAAAATGTTAAGGGCAGCCAGAGAGAAAGGTCGGGTTACCCACAAAGGGAAGCCCATCAGACTAACAGCGGATCTCTCGGCAGAAACTCTACAAGCCAGAAGAGAGTGGGGGCCAATATTCAACATTCTTAAAGAAAAGAATTTTCAACCCAGAATTTCATATCCAGCCAAACTAAGCTTCAGAAGTGAAGGACAAATAAAATACTTTACAGACAAGCAAATGCTGAGAGATTTTGTCACCACCAGGCCTGCCCTAAAAGAGCTCCTGAAGGAGGCACTGAACATGGAAAGGAACAACCGGTACCAGCCACTGCAAAAACATGCCAAATTGTAAAGACCATTGAGGCTAGGAAGAAACTGCATCAACTAACGAGCAAAATAACCAGCTAACATCAAAATGACAGGATCAAATTCACACATAACAATATTAGCCTTAAATGTAAATGGGCTAAATGCTCCAATTAAAAGACACAGACTGGCAAATTGGATAAAGAGTCAAGACCCATCAGTGTGCTGTATTCAGGAAACCCATCTCACATGCAGACACACACATAGGCTCAAAATAAAAGGATGGAGGAAGATCTACCAAGCAAATGGAAAACAAAAAAAGGCAGGGATTGCAATCCTAGTCCCTGATAAAACAGACTTTAAACCAACAAAGATCAAAAGAGACAAAGAAGGACATTACATAATGGTAAAGGGTTCAATTCAACAAGAAGAGCTAACTATCCTAAATATATATGCACCCAATACAGGAGCACCCAGTTTCATAAAGCAAGTCCTGAGTGACTTACGAAGAGACTTAGACTCCCACACAATAATAGTGGGAGACTTTAACACCCCACTGTCAACATTAGACAGATCAACGAGACAGAAAGTTAACAAGGATACCCAGGAATTGAACTCAGCTCTGCACCAAGCGGACCTAATAGACATCTACAGAACTCTCCACGCCAAATCAACAGAATATACATTTTTTTCAGCACTGCACCACACCTATTCCAAAATTGACCACATACTTGGAAGTAAAGCTCTCCTCAGCAAATGTAAAAGAACAGAAATTATAACAAACTGTCTCTCAGACCACAGTGCAATCTAATTAGAACTGAGGATTAAAAAACGCACTCAAAACTGCTCAACTACATGGAAACTGAACAACCTGCTCCTGAATGACTACTGGATACATAAAGAAATGAAGGCAGAAATAAAGATGTTCTTTGAAACCAACAAGAACAAAGACACAACATACCAGAATCTCTGGGACGCATTCGAAGCACTGTGTAGAGGGAAATTTATAGCACTAAATGCCCATAAGAGAAAGCAGGAAAGATCCAAAATTGACCCCCTAACATCACAATTAAAAGAACTAGAAAAGCAAGGGCAAACACATTCAAAAGCTAACAGAAGGCAAGTAATAACTAAAATCAGAGCGGAACTGAAGGAAATAGAGACACAAAAAACCCTTCAAAAAATTAATGAATCCAGGAGCTGGTTTTTTGAAAGGATCACCAAAATTGATAGACCGCTAGCAAGACTAATAAAGAAGAAAAGAGAGAAGAATCAAATAGACGCAATAAAAAATGATAAAGCGGATATCACCACCGATCCCACAGAAAAACAAACTACCATCTGAGAATACTACAAACACCTCTATGCAAATAAACTAGAAAATCTAGAAGAAATGGATAAATTCCTCGACACAAACACTCTCCCAAGACTAAACCGGGAAGAAGTTGAATCTCTGAATAGACCAATAACAGGCTCTGAAATTGTGGCAATAATCAATAGCTTACCAACCAAAAAGAGTCCAGGACCAGATGGATTCACAGCCGAATTCTACCAGAGGTACAAGGAGGAACTGGTACCATTCCTTCTGAAACTATTCCAATCAACAGACAAAGAGGGAATCCTCCCTAACTCATTTTATGAGGCCAGCATCATCCTGATAACCAAAGCCGGGCAGAGACACAACCAAAAAAGAGAATTTTAGACCAATATCCTTGATGAACATTGAAGCAAAAATCCTCAATAAAATACTGGCAAACCGAATCCAGCAGCACATCAAAAAGCTTATCCACCATGATCAAGTGGGCTTCATCCCTGGGATGCAAGGCTGGTTCAATATACACAAATCAATAAATGTAATCCAGTATATAAACAGAACCAAAGACAAAAACCACATGATTATCTCAATAGATGCCGAAAAGGCCTTTGACAAAATTCAACAACTCTTCATGCTATTAACTCTCAATAAATTAGGTATTGATGGGACGTATCTCAAAATAATAAGAGCTATCTATGACAAACCCACAGCGAATATCATACTGAATGGGCAAAAACTGGAAGCATTCCCTTTGAAAACGGGCACAAGACAGGGATGCCCTCTCTCACCACTCCTATTCAACATAGTGTTGGACGTTCTGGCCAGGGAAATCAGGCAGGAGAAGGAAATAAAGGGTATTCAATTAGGAAAAGAGGAAGTCAAATTGTCCCTGTTTGCAGATGACATGACTGTATATCCAGAAAACTCTATTGTTTCAGCCCAAAATCTCCTTAAGCTGATAAGCAACTTCAGCAAAGTCTCAGGATACAAAATCAATGTACAAAAATCATGAGCATTCTTATACACCAATAACAGACAAACAGAGAGCCAAATCATGAGTGAACTCCCATTCACAATTGCTTCAAACAGAATAAAATACCTAGGAATCCAACTTACAAGGGACGTGAAGGACCTCTTCAAGGAGAACCATAAACCACTGCTCAAGGAAATAAAAGAGGATACAAAGAAATGGAAGAACATTCCATGCTCATGGGTAGGAAGAATCAATACCATGAAAATGGCCATACTGCCCAAGGTAATTTATAGATTCAATGCCATCCCCATCAAGCTACCAATGACTTTCTTCACAGAATTGGAAAAAACTACTTAAAGTTCATATGGAAGCAAAAAAGAGCCCGCACCACCAAGTCAATCCTAAGCCAAAAGAACAAAGCTGGAGGCATCACGCTACCTGACTTCAAACTATACTACAAGGCTACTGTAACGAAAACAGCATGGTACTGGTATCAAAACAGAGATATAGATCAATGGAATAGAACAGAGCCCTCAGAAATAACGCCGCATATCTACAACTATCTGATCTTTGATAAACCTGAGAAAAATAAGCAATGGGGAAAGGATTCCCTATTTAATAAATGGTGCTGGGAAAACTGGCTAGCCATATGTAGAAAGCTGAAACTGGATCCCTTCCTTACACCTTATACAAAAATTAATGCAAGATGGATTAAAGACTTAAACTTTAGACCTAAAACCATAAAAACCCTAGAAGAAAACCTAGGCATTACCATTCAGCACATAGGCATGGGCAGGGACTTCATGTCTAAAACACCAAAAGCAATGGCAACAAAAGCCAAAACTGACAAATGGTATCTAATTAAACTCAAGAGCTTCTGCACAGCAAAAGAAACTACCATCAGAGTGAACAGGCAACCTACAAAATGGGAGAAAATTTTCACAACCTACTCATCTGACAAAGGGCTAATATCCACAATCTACAATGAACTCAAACAAATTTACAAGAAAAAAACAAAACAACCCCATCAAAAACTGGGCGAAGGACATGAACAGACACTTCTCAAAAGAAGACATTTATGCAGCCAAAAGACACATGAAAAAATGCTCACCATCACTGGCTATCAGAGAAATGCAAATCAAAACCACAATGAGATACCATCTCACACCAGTTAGAATGGCAATCATTAAAAAGTCAGGAAACAACAGGTGCTGGAGAGGATGTGGAGAAATAGGAACATTTTTACACTGTTGGTGGGACTGTAAACTAGTTCAACCATTGTGGAAGTCAGTGTGGTGATTCCTCAGGGATCTAGAACTAGAAATACCATTTGACTCAGCCATCCCATTACTGGTTATATACCCAAAGGACTATAAATCATGCTGCTATAAAGACACGTGCACATGTATGTTTATTGCGGCACTATTCACAATAGCAAAGACTTGGAACCAACCCAAATGTCCAACAATGATAGACTGGATTAAGAAAATGTGGCACATATACACCATGGAATACTATGCAGCCATAAAAAATGATGAGTTCATGTCCTTTGTAGGGACATGGATGAAATTGGAAATCATCATTCTCAGTAAACTATCACAAGAACAAAAAACCAAACACTGCATATTCTCACTCATAGGTGGGAACTGAACAATGAGAACACATGGACACAGAAAGGGGAACATCACACTCTGGGGACTGTTGTGGGGAGGGGGGAAGGTGGAGGGTGGAGGGATAGCATTAGGAGATATACCTAACGTTAAATGACGAATTAATGGGTGCAGCACACCAGCATGGCACATGTATACATATGTAACTAACCTGCACATTGTGTACATGTACCCTAAAACTTAAAGTATAATAATAATAAAAATAAAAAATAAAAGCAAAATCCCAGCAAAAAAAAAAAGAAAGAAATATAAGAACACATTAACAACCATGATAGTGGATAATATTTTAAAAACCCTTTCAGGCCTACATAACTCAAGTAGGAAAAACATAAGTAAAAATATGATTACCAGGTAGATTTAGAAAGTGAAAATTAGATTTTCTGCTTTCTCAATTAGAATTTGCAAAAACAAACAAACAAATAGGTATTTGGTAAACTTGAATATATGAATTATTAAGTGTATAAATAAAATAGTAGCCAGGCTCCATACCTGTTTACCTATGATGCACATTCCTAGCAAAGAGTTTCATTGGCCCTCCTCTAACCAGAACTGGCTTGCTTGTCTACACTCTCCTTTCTGCTGTCTCCTTTCTGTGTCAGCCTGATTCTACACAAATTCATCTTACAAAGCTTGGTTCCAAATACACCTTCCTGTAAAACTGTCCTTCATCATGCCTTGATACAATGGCACTTCTAAATTCACACTGCCACATACTAGGAGATATATATATATATATATATAAAATTCCATTCAAATATATATATATATTCCATTCAAATATATATATTCCATTCAAATACATATATATGTATATAGTCATTCCATTCTCTAATGTAAAACCGTATATTTTAGTTTTCATTGGTACACAATTAGGTCCCGATAAATGCTGAAAATACCAACTTTAGAAAGTCAGAACATAGAATGGTGGTTGGTAGGGGCTGGAGAAATGTGGAGTTCCTGTTTAACGGCTATAGAGTTTCAGTTTTACAAAATGAAAATAATGCTAAAGATTCATTGCACAACAATGTAAATTCACTTACAGGGAAGAGAAAAACCTTTCCTCTACATTCTTAGGTTCTATAACTGGGGCTTGTGAATTAAACTAACAAAAAACAGATTAACCGGAAAAAAGGCATACACATTTTATTTGATTATAATCATTTGATTTTCACATGAACGGAGACCTTCATAGAAAAGAAGTGAAGACCCAAACAAGTAGTGACACTCAGTGGGTTTATATGACGTTTTAAAAAAGGGTGATAAATTGTGGAGAAGTGGCAAGACAAAGGAAAAGGGTTTGGGGCTTCTAAGGTGGGAAACTCTGTAATGCAGGAGGGAAACTAATGGATAATAAAGGTTATTTAGTGAGATTTGTTTATGCTGGCTTATCCTGACAGCATTTCTATTTCTGCTAATAAAGGTTGCTCTTCTCCTCCTGGTATGAGAGTGGGGGATGCTTTTATAAGTCAAATGTATGCCCTACTTTTAGGTAGATGGGGAAGAGTAGAGAGGTTTCCTGTGCCTGCTTTTCCTTAATTGCCTTCAGCTCAAAAGGATCTTTATGCTAAATTCGCATATTTTAGGGTAGCATATTCTGATGTCCTTTATACTTAACATTACTCAGCTATGTGCTTTAAAATAGTTAAAATTGTCAATTTTATGTTATGTATATAATACCACTTTTTTTTAGAAGTTGAAGGTAGTAGTGTCAGAAAATTAAATTACATAATGAAACTATGGAGGGGTAGTTCAAGTGTAAATAAAGGTTATGTGGCATGTTTTCTGCATACAACGTACTTAAATGTGTCTCTGAGAACATGCCTAGACATGTGTTACTCTACTTTCTTATTTGAAAGGAAACTTACAGTGTAACAGTGTTATTATCCCCCAAATGATAATAATACTTATATCCACATTCCTCAAGTGTGTATGTATATATGTGTGTGTATGTGTATGCGTGTGTGTGTGTGTATATATATATATATACACACACACACATACATTGTGCATATGTAAACATACAGGCATTCTAACATACCACTTTTAATTTGGATAGTGAAATTAATTCTACACATGAGCACATTACATAAATCAAATTATTAAAGAAATTATTAGTATCTTCACAGGGAAGATTTTTACCAGCATATAAATGTTGCAATAATTCTCAAATTAAAAAGAAAAGATGTGGAACAGAGATTGGAAATCCAATTAATATTCTCATTTTCTATTTCTCCTTTGTGCAATCAATGCTACATTTATCATATTTTAATTCATGGGAAAGGCAAACCTTATAAATGAGCACGTACTCACGAGATTGAGCACAGAAAAAATATATACTATGTCTTATTCCTACTTTATGTAGTAAATAAATTCTTTGTCCTTTGAGAGCAACTTATTCAAAATTTGTATGCTACAGCTCCTCTTCCACTAATAATGTAAGGCTGCTAGAGTCTTTTCCTCTTTATTGACTTGAAAGTGTGCATATGTAAGAAGCAGTTATTTGGCCTAGGATATAAAAAGCTAAAATAAATTTCCTATTTTCTCAATTTTTTCCTGATGAAAAATATTTAAATGCTAGCTGCATTATAACCTTCAAAAACACTCAATACCAGCCCTTGAAGTGTTATTAAATGACTGAATTCAAGTAAATGCTAAAGGACTTTAGGTTAAAAGCCAAACAAAATGGCATCTATTTATTTACTTTCTGACAACAGAAGCATTTAAACCCTGCTCTTCTGAAATCCAAAATATACAAATTTACAAATCTTAGCCCCATAATTGATGAGAAACATGCTAACAAATCTCTAATGCTGAGCCATTAGTTAATAGTCATTTTTCTCAACATTCTGAATCAGATAGGCTATTAAGATATTTACTTTAAAAATTTTATTTGTGGGGGAATGGGCAAAGGAGAGAGAGGGCTGGTTACAGCTGTCTAAAATTTTATTTATACATATAAATAAAATTTATATATAAATTTATATGTAAATTTTTAGTGTGTGTATATATATATATATATATAGATAGATAGATAGATAGATAGATAGATAGAGAGAGAGAGAGAGAGAGAGAGAACTACATAAATATCCCAGGAATGAAGGGCCTTCAAGAAGGTAAAACATTTCATAAGGCATCTGCCCTTAATTGTACTTAAAATATAAAAGTAACATAATTTCTTTGTAACTAGCATCTTCTATCAAAAAAATTAGGATTACATACAAATGTGTTGCGTGTATTAAAATATTAAATACTTTAAGTAAATTTTTATAAATATTTAAACATTCCTAGGGATAGATATTACAGAACAGAACTTCAATTTGTCCTGATGGTTATTCACAACTGCCTCCAAGAAAAACTATTTTTACCTAGTCTGTTCTCTGTGTAAACATAGCATATATGCTTAGATTTATTCCCCGAATACGTTTTCCAATATTTGTAAATTGATATTAGCGTCAAACATAACATTAAACTTTTTGGACAATTTTCTGAATTTAGCCAAAATAGTTTAAAGGTATAACGCAGTAAAATATGATTAGATATTTGAATGAATTCACATTTTGGATGACTCAGACACTTTCTAAGTATCAACTCAAGTTTTCCACTAAAATAAATTCAGCTTCTTCGTAAATTAATTATTTTAGAATCCTATTCTTTTTACATCTTTACATCAGTCATCACTTGTGCTAGCTTAATGTATCTATATCTTTTTAAGATATAATTATCCAAAAACTGAACTGTAACTGGCATATAATCAAATTATAAAAATATTTTCTAGATCAAATGAGTATTAACATTTCTACATCTTTTAAATAACAGTTTGGATATGTGACTCATGGTAAGTTTTTCAACATTAGTTGTTCCCAGGCAGTTCTACAATTGAGTCATTCAAGATGACTTGCAAATGTCCCTGGTAAACCTCATACACTGTGACTTGTCTAGGAATTTTGGATGGTATTACTGTTTTCTTACTTATAACATATACTGTAGTTTTATATAAAAATAAAATGAAAAGTTTTTTCATTAATATTATTTCAGAGACTATTTGTAAAACATGAAAATTCAAGCAATAATAACCACAGTATATACAGGATTTTATGTACTTTACATGCTAAGCAACTTGAATTATTCATTTAAAATGTTGGATTGCTCCACAGTTTAAGACTTACTCATAAACTTAGTATGCCAAGGGATCCTTTTTTTCTTAGAGTAAGACAACAAACTAGAGCTAAGAGATTCTTTTTTTTTTTTTTTTTTTTTTTTTTGAGACAGAGTCTTACTCTGTCACCCAGGCTGGAGTGCAGTGGCACAATCACGGCTCACTGCAACCTCTGCCTCCTGGGTTCAAGTGATTCTCCTGCCTCAGCCTCCTGAGTAGCTGGGATTACAGGCATGGGCCACCACACCTGGCTAATTTTTGTATTTGTAGTAGAGACGGGGTTTCACCATGTTGGCCAGGTTGGTCTCAAACCCGTGACTTCAGGTGATCTGCCCGCCTCAGCCTCCCACCCAAAGTGCTGGGATTACAGGTGTGAGCCACCGTGCCTGGCAGAGATTCTTAAAAGAAAAAAAAAAAATCACTGGCTATGAATATTTTAAACATTAGCTCAGTGAAGACTTATTTTTTTTTTAATTCATGGTTCTGATTTATTTGTATTCTGACAGTTGAAAGTCGAGATTTTTTAAAAACTTGAAATAGTGTTTACCTAGTTTTCTGGAATATATAAGTATCATAGCCACTCATTTTATCACACTACAGCAGAGGTTCCTGGGGCTGAAAACCAGTACTGGTCCTGGCCTGTTATAGGAACCCAGCCACACAGCAGGAGGTGAGCTGCCTGAGAGCAAGCATTATCACCTGAACTCAGTGTCCTGTCAGATCAGCCACTGCATTAGATTTTCATAAGAGCACAAACCCTATTGTGAACTGCGCATGCGAAGGATCTAGGCTGTGTGCTCCTTATGAGAATCTAATGCCTGATCAACTGAGTTAGAACAGTTTCGTCTTGAAATCACCCCCAACCCCCAATCCACCACCTCCAAATGTGTAAAAAAATTGTCTTCCACAAAACTGGTCCCCAGTGCCAAAAGGTTGGGGACCATTGCACTACAGCATACTACAGCATATAAAACAAAGTAATAAATGCAATGTTTAAACATTATAAACTTAGCATCTAAAATGCTCAAAATTGCTTCGAAGACTGTTTATTGTATATATTTTTTGTATATGCTTATTGTATGTACTTTTAAATGTATCTATATACAAACAAATATATATATATATATACACACACACACACACATATGCACAGGACTACATGTAAAATTATTTTTACATAATAATTTGCAATGCACAAATTTAATATTAAATGTTGAACTATTCCCCAGGGGCCAAAAATGTCCACAATATGTAATTACTTGTGATTTTGTTGAGAGAGACATTTCAAAAGTATACAATGGTTGTCACAAAGCAGTTGCTAAGATACCAAATAAACCTCTGACAATTACAAGCCCTGGAATCTCAACAGGGTTTTCTTTTTTCTTTTCCTTTCTTTTTTTTTTTTTTTTTTTTTTTTGAGACAGAGTTTCGCTCTTGTTGCCCAGGCTGGAGTGCAATGGCAAAATCTCGGCTCACTCCAACTTCTGCCTCTCAGGTTCAAGCAATTCTCCTGCCTCAGCCTCCTGAGTAGCTGGGATTACAGGCATGCAACACCACGCCTGGCTAATTTTGTATTTTTAGTGGAGATGGGGTTTTACCATATTGGTCAGGCTGCTCTCAAACTCCTGACCTAAGGTGATCCGCCTGCCTTGGCCTCCTAAAGTGCTAGGATTACAGGCATGAGCCACCAAGCCCAGCCAAGGTTTTCATATTATATGAAGTAATTCAGAAAGAAAAAAATAAGAGTTAGTAAATATGATGCTAATATCATGACACAGTAGTGTAATGTAGCCCACTAGAGGTGGCAAATTTTATTTGCATTAATTATGTTCTATTGCATGTAGAGAAAAATCACTAAGTGCTTAAAAGAACAATTTCTATTTACATGGAAGTGTGTCCTGCAGTATATTTGTAAACCTGGAGATTTTCTAAAATCTCAAGACACATCTTTTATTAATGCCAAGAGTTTGTTTTACGAGGACCATATATTAGAATTACAATTCTGCCACTAAATACTTTCATTTTATTACATCTGTTTAAAATATGTTCAACTATCTAGAGCATAGCTTACAGTTAATCACATAAAAGTTGAATTTTTCAACATCATTTTTCGTGCAATATTATTTCCAAGTGCATATTTCTTCCATAGCTGATAATTAAGCATTCTAATTATAAACAGCAGTATAAATTGCTGGAAACCATAATAAACCACTTTTATAGGGTGAAAGAGTCATATAGACAATGAGCTATTTTTGTGCTGGAAAAGCAATGCAGGTATACTTTTTATAAGCAAAGTATATGGACCTTTTTATGCAGTAAGGCAAATACAGCCATGCATTACCCAATGACAGATCACATATATGATGAGAGTCTCATAAGATTATAATGAATCAGAAAGATTCCTATTGCCTAGTGATGTTTGATGATCCTGACCCCGAATAGACCTAGGCTAATGTGTATGTTTGTGTCTTCGTTTTTAAAAGAAAAAATTGAAAATCACATTAAAAATGGAAAAAAACTAATAGAATAAGGATATAAAGAAAGAAAATATTTTTTACAGCTGTATAGTATGCTTGTGTTTTAAGGTAAGTATTAATACTAAACAGTTTAAAAGTGAAAAAAATTCAAGACTTTATGAAGTAAAAATATCACAGTAATGTAAGGTTAATTCATTACTGAAGAAAGAAATTTTAAAAAGAAATTTAGTATAACCTAAGTGTATAGTGTTTATAAAGTCTACAAGTAGCGTACAGTAATGCCCTAAGCCTTCACATTCACTACACACTCACTGACTCACCCAGAGCAACTTTCAGTCCTGCAAGCTCCATTCATGTTACATGACCTATACAAGTATACAAATTTTTATCTGTTACACCGTGTTTTTACTATACCTTTTCTATGTTTAGATACAAAAATACTTAACATAATGTTACATTTATCTCTAGTGTTCAGTACAGTAAAATGCTGTACAGAGTTACAGCCTAGAAACAATAGGCTACATTATATAACCTAGAAATGTAGTAGTCTATACCATATAGGTTTGTGTAAGTACACCTATGATGCTTACACAATGACAAAATTGCCTAATGACATATTTTCCAGAACATTTCTGCAGTGTTAAGCAATATACGACTGTAATCTACTAAAGAGCATATTTGCTCTGAATCTGGTACGATAAAGAAAGCACAACAAAATGACAACAACAAAAAACATCTCACATAGAAAAACCTGTTTGGCCTGAGTATTTTGCAGCATCTTTGCAAGTAACGTATTTTTCTTTGCCAGGGAAGAAAATAGTTCGCCTTTTTCAGCATATGCATGCACAATAAATTCCTGCTATGTGATAGGTACTCAGAACCACACATTGCTAGAATTGATATAATCTGAGTTAGCTCAAGTTCTGAGATTCTGAAATATGGTGATTATGAATATAAAAGATTATATAACAAATGCAAACTTACCCTTCTAATCTTACATCTGGCAGACTTCTATTAAGGGCAATCAAATCACTGGCCATAAGGTTAAACTGATTGATTTTAAACAGCTCTTTCATTTTCTCCTGGTCATCTTTAGGAATCAACACAGCTTTTCCCATTTCTCCTGGCCCTTCTTGGTTTCTTGAAATAACAGCTGTAAGACATACAGAGATACAGACATACATACAAACACACAGATAATGAACTGAATAAATAAACTTGTGTGTCTGATTAGATTCTGAAGCATATTATTTACATACAGGTTTTATAATATAATGATCAAGATTTTACTGATTATAAACCACACACTCTGCTAAAGAAAAACATCAATTCTGCGTATTATCTTCCAAGTTTAGATAAATTATATGATGACTAAACATTAAGACAATAATTCTAAATGTACAAAATACCCAATCTTAAAACTTCTGTCATATATTTCATACACTATTAGAGAAAACTGAAGTTGAACACTAGGCAGACAAAATAATGCAAAATAAAAGAACTTTAAAGAATACTAAGATTAATTTATTTTCACATCCAATTAAATGTTTTGATATTTCACATATCTACTGCCATTACATCTTTATAAAGGCAAACAAAACTAAACATTTTGAATTGTGTCAAAAGAAGCTTCATAGTGGTGACACATAACTTCAAATGTCAAGTTGAAATTTGGATACTATGTGCTCTATAATTGAAACTTCACAATAATATTCTGGGCTTGAATATTCGTGAAGAGAACGCAGGATTTGATATATAGGCTAATTTTCTCGCCACTTCTCCCAAGTTATCACTACACTAAAGTCCCTTCTAGATCTAAAGTATACGTTTCAAGGGGTGTGTGTGTGTGTGTGTGTGTGTGTGTGTGTTGCCTACACATACCTGTATGCATGCTAATATATAGTAATAAGACAAAGTGCCAGTTGGCCCAAATGCATCCTGAAGTTACTCTTCAGAGTGATATTAAATTAGGTTAAAGTGAAAGGAATGTGGTTCTGGTCTCGACTCTTCCAATGTCTCGACTCTTCCAATGTTCTGCTATATTATAGTTCCTAACACATTAATCTTACTGAGTTTAATTTCCATATAAATTAAAAGGCACATATTTAGGCACAGCATACCTTGAAATACTGAAAAAAAATAAGGACTATAATGCATATGAAAATAATTTTTAAGTTAGAACATTTCATTAAAAACATAAATTCTAAAATAATGTATGAATATGGTAAAAACTAGGATAGAACACATCCAGCAAATTTTGCTCTGAGCCAACCATCATAGCCACAAAACAGCAAAACTGGTATTATTAGCATGAATACACAGTTGACCATCCAGTTGATGACTTTGTAATGGCATGAGTCAAACCATATAAGAGAATAGGCATCTCTAAGGACCTTTAGATATGGGTAAAAAAAAGTGATTGGCCTTGAAATCCTCTCACATATATAAAAATAGTTAGAACTGGAAACATTGAATATAGAAAAAAATATGTATTCAATTTCAAACTATTTAAAAAGTTGTCATCAAAATAAAGTTTACAAAGATTATCATTCACTTTAAAAAGCAAAAATAGAAACAATGGCAGAAATTTTATGAGAAGGTGTATTTTTCTAAATTTAAGAAATAAAATTCCAATAAAAATAATTTTCTTTAGGTGTTAGTATATGTAATATCCCTAAACTCAGATGACGTTATTGGATTTGGCTTTGGATGAATTTGTGATGTCGGTGAGACAATGACATTAAGGTATCTTTCATTTGTAAGATTAAAAAAATTTTTTAGTCTACATAAAGTATTAAATGAATTTATATGTGGCTTCTTTGTGAGTCTTTCTAATTCTGAAATAAGAACATAAACAGGTGACATGGGCGCTCCTATTAACCATAAATATTCAGTTTAGGTTTTTTTTTTTTTTTTAACATATCTTGGACTGTAACTTTAATTCCATAAAAAAGAGATACTTTTTCCCTGGTATAAAAAATATTCTGATTCTTAACATTTTGAAAATTTGTGATTCTTTTGAATGGTTAAATAATTTGGGGTACATTTTTAAAAATAATTTTTGGAAATTAAGAAAGAAATTCCCTGTTTACAGTTGTTTACAATATCTTTGTAGGGGAACAAAACCTTCTTTATCCTCTTACATTCTGTGGTGATATAAGAATTAAACTGGCATAATACAGATTAATAGGAAAAGAGCATACAAATGTATTTTTATGTGTACACAGGAGTCTTCAGAAGGAAAATGAAGGTCAAAGAACCTTTTAGGCCCAAAAGCTTATATATCACTTTAAACAAAGAATAATAAATTGTCAGTAAGTGATAATACAAAGGAGATTTAGGTAGGGAGCTAGGGGCAGTAAATTGTGGGTTTGTAACTAGGAAATGTATGGGGAAAACTATGAGGAGATTAGGGTTATTTTAGTAAGCTTGTTTGCATAGGTCCATTCCAGTGTTGACTCATAACTTCTGGTGACGAGAACAATTTTTGCTTTCTAATACAGTGGGAAGGGGTGGGGGGATTTGTATCATGGGAAACTTTGTGACCTTCTTTTAGGCAGAAACAGGGAGATCAGAAACAGCTTCCTGCATGTGCTCTTTCTTAAGAAAGAGCCTGCAGCTTAAAATAACCCATATGACAAAGTGGCATATTTGGGGATGCATGTTCTGATCCCTTTCACCGTCTGTAAACTGATAAAAAGACATGCTGCAGAGAAAGTCACCATAATCAACACAATGCTTCCAAGACTAGGAAGCAGATAGGATTAAAATTTCGCTCTGTGGAAAAGACATGGGCTCAACTCTAACACCTTAAGCTATGAAGGTCAATTTAAAGCACACAGAAGTATTTGATATTTGCAATATATTCAAAGGCATGACAGTTTTATTTTCACATTATGTAAGTTATAGTTTTGTCAGTGGTAGCAGGAGTAATTGTGCCATGTTTTGGTATCATAATCAATGAAATTAAAATGGTCATAAACAGTGTCCGTATACCTAGGACTACTTGCAACAACATGTAGTCATTCTCCTAATTATTCTCAGTTTCTTAGTGGAGAATAGGTAACAACTTAAAGAATATCAGGTTAAGCGTCTTCTCCCCAGAGTTAAATACATTCTTCTGTTACAGCTTCTAATGAATATATATTTGACATTTTTAAAATGTGTGTGTGTGTGTGTGTGTGTGTTTTGCCTGTGTATAAGCAGGCCTATTGGTGTTTTTCACTTTGCTCAAGCAAAAAGAATGCTAAGTAGTTATAGTGGGGAACGAGCCTTTTACTTTTTCTGGCTTTTACCTGGAGGAAGGCATCTTACCAGAAGAAAACACTTTTCTAATTCTTCAAATAGCATAAATAACAAATGGGAAAGAATAAGCAGTTGGGTGTTGTGACTTATCACTGGTCTTAAGCACCTTTAAATATCAGTTTCTATACATTTTTCTCACCTGTTGATTTCCTTTACATAGCACACACACAAAGAGACTCATGTACTCACAAAATATCATGCTTCCCCATAGTCAGAGGAAAAAAAAAACCACTTGTCATCTAAATATGTGTGCTATTTATCTACTCTAATAGGCAAATGTAATGCAGAAGGCAAGCAAATCTACATTGTGGTTTTTTTATTGTTGATTTGAATATGGATGAAATGTTCAAATACCAAAGCTGGCGTAGACTTCAAAAAGAGATTAATTTATTATGCTATGAGCTATTTTCTTCCTAATTATATAGTGAAATTATTTAAAAAAATAATTAGTTTGACTCAAAATGACATTATAAAGCTTTTAGAAATATGATAAAACCAGAATCATTTTATACCTTTCATTTTCTCTAACACAGAACCTACTTAAAAAATTTAATTTACATTTATTTTAATCTTAGAATTCCCAGTGTTAAAGAAGATGATCATATTATAAACAAAACAACTGATAAATCTACCAAAAAGAACACTATTTATCAATTGCATTATTTGCTTATGTATATTACATTGTGAACATTTTCTTATTTGCAGAATTACCCCTTTATTAGTGGGCAGTGTCTCTTTGAAAAAAGAGAAATGAACTAGTCTATATCTAGGAAAAAGCTTGAAGCAAAAACAAACAACAAAAAACATTTCAAGTTGATTGATTTTAAAGTAATAATTTTATTCTGTTAGAGAACATAGTAATATGTGATGAATAATGGTACAAGCATAACATTGAATCAAAATCTGAATAATATCCCATATGCCTTGCTTGTCAAAAAAATCTTTCAAATTGTATTTCTAGTCTTAGATCTACTCAGTTGTTACTTTCTGTATATTTTCCTTTAAAATCTTTCTTTTCATTGGCATTGTAGATCTTTCACTTTCATTACTTTCAATTTTACAATTGTAATAAATTAGAAACACTGACTTTTAGTCCCTCTCATATTTGAATATTCATACTCTGCTACCAATAAATCAGTTTCCCTAAAACAATGCTTTTGGTCTTGTCAATCAATTATCTGTTTATAGATGACTCAGAAGATAAGAAAACCATACTGGTTTTTCCACCACCCCCCACCACAAAAACCACTTTACCCTCCACTCACCATTACCCAGATCATGCTCTTTTGCCAGTCCAAAGGCTCTAGTTTATCAAGGATAATTATTTGAGTAATTGCTTTTTTCATTGTTTTAAAAGAGATGGGGTTTTCTCTATGTCACCTAGACTGAAGTGTAGTTTCACGGTCACAGCTCACTACAACCTTGAACTTCTGGGCTCAAGGGATCCTCCCTCCTTAGCCTCCTTGAGTAGCTGACACTACAAGAACCCACCATCACACGTGGCTCAGGGTTAATTCTTAATAAAATAAGGGGATTCAGTATATACTTGCTTTGGCCCATTTCTCTTAGAAACAAAAATAGACTTCACATATCAATATGATAGTTAACCTATAAATTAAACAACTAAATTTATTCTATTTAATGTATGACAAGTAGCAATTCATTTAGCATCCCTTTGAAAATAAACTATATACAACTTTTATAAATCTGACACATCTGACAGTAAGATTTGTTTTTCATTTCTTATGTAGAAAGTTGTAAATAGCAAGCCCCGGCTGCATCAAGTCTAGCATATATTAGCTACTACTTCTCAGAAAGGTGTCATCTATTAGATAATCAATAAGGTAGCATTTTACATCAGCTAGCTAAGAGAGATTATCCACAGAAACAAGAGAACACTGATCACCAACATTTTTTTTTACTCAAAATATATTATTTTTATGATAAAAATAATGCATGCTCATTTACAAGGATGAAGGTAGGCAGGAAGGCAGGCAGGCAGGAAGGAAGAAAGCAAAGGAGGAAGCCACTATAGAAAAACAGTGAAATATCAAGTAAACTACTGCTTGAATGAACAGTCAGCAATAATCTGTACATAAACATACATATGTATTTAAAATAGGACCATTCATATATGCTGAATTTTATAATTTCATTCAACATTATTGTACATGCCAATTTGTTGTTTGTTTGTTTTTTGAGACGGAGTCTCCCTTTGTTACCCAGGCTGGAGTGCAGTGGTGCGATCTCAGCTCACTGCAACCTCCACCTCCTGGGTTCAAGCGATTCTTGTGCCTCAGCCTCTTCAGTAGCTGGAATTACAGGTGCCCGTCACCAGCTAATTTTTGTATTTTTATTAGACACTGGGTTTTGCCATGTTGGCCAGGCGGGTCTCGAACTCCTGACCCCAGGTGATCTTTCCACCTAGGCCTCCCAGACTGTCGGGATTACAGGCGTTAGCCACCATGCGCAGCCTGTACATGCTAATTTTTATCATTTAAAAAACATTTGTGGAAACCTTTCCAAATAAATATGTGAATCCATACTTATTTTCTAATGGGTGCAAAATATTCCAAAGTTTGGATATACCATCATTTATTTAACCAATGCTTTTTCTTTGAATATTTATGTTGGTTTCAATCACATCTATTATAAACAGCAATGCAATTAATATTCTTCCTTATGTATACATCTTTGTAAATTTGCCTGAAAATACCTTCTGAAAAAGTAGTGGAAATTTAATGGGTGAATTGAAAATTAACCATGCTGTATTAGAATTATTCCTTTTCTCATCTCTTTGACTTTCTGTATATTTCTTTTGCCAGAAAGTTCCTTCAACCTCTGATCACTCAAATAATCCTTGTTCATCTCTGAAGACCAATTTCAACTTTCAGGTAAGATAACTCTCTTTCATAATTTTATAGCTCTTTTACATCATTCCATTATACTTTTCATAATGTTGCAATTCCATTTTTTGCATGTTATCACACAGATTCTAACTATTGAACTAATGTAGTTGTTGTTCCTCTTGGACACATAGCTATGCAACATTTTCCAGCCTGCCCTGCAGTTAGGTGTGGTCCTTAACCGAGAATAGAAATGATATGTGCCAATTCAAGCCAGGCTCATAAAAACTTCCCGTGTGTGGTTCTCCATGTACTTTCCCCTGCTGTAGCAACTTTGGAAGCCATGTGTGGAAAACAGCAGTCGACACTACCAACAGTAACCTAGATGTCTGAATCACTGCTTGGAAGAGAGCCATTTGCTCATGAGAAATATCCATTGCAAAATTTACATGAAAAACAAAACAAAACAACAACTTTATTTTGCTAAACCATTAGAATTTTGGGTCTATTTGTTATACTTGTCAGTGTTATTTTTATTAATATAATTATTTCATTCCTCCGTTAGTCTATGAAACTCCCCGAAGCATTGTGCATCAATTTTGGCTCATCCCAGTACTTGCCACTGTGCATTCAATCAGTGAATAATTTTTTTAAAGTAGAAGGCAATTTGTAGACAATCTAGTTCTATTATCAAAAGACTGATAAAAAAGTAATTAGAATAGAGGTTTTTAACGTGGGTTTTCCCCATCTCAGATATATATATATATATATATATATATATATATATATATATATATATATATAAAATGGTCTGTTATGTTACTGAAAAAAAGTTAGATGAATTGAGTTGAGATTACTATATGTATAGACATTATAAATAAATTGATATGTGTTAATACAAGCTCAAAAATCTTTAATCATAGCAACTCACAATGAAAATGTGTGGACACTATGGACTTAATGGGTTTAATTAGATCACAAATTAGATCATAAGTAGAGATTTAGCAAATCACCATTTAAATTTAAAAAGCCCATGATTAATTTATTTCAATGCCCCAATAGTAACTTTTAATAAAAATAATATTTTGTATAACTACTACAAAGGAGTCTCAACAATACCTCAACACAAACTGGGGCTTATTAAATATTGTCAGCTATTTGCTGTACAATCATGGATCACTTATTCTGCCTTTCTTGCTCACAATCTCTTCCTAAATAAGATATTTAAATAATTTCACCGTTTAGTTTAGATGGAAGGTTATATGCCAAAGCCAATAGGCACTACAGTGGATGCCCACATCACACCTTCCCATACTATTCTATACAAGCAAGTGAATCATAGCTTGTAACTTATGACTCACAAATTCCTTTTAAAAATATATTCTAAAACATATATAGATTTGTCCAAAGATTTACCTGCATACATGATTTTTTTTTTTTTTTTGAGACAGAGTCTTGCCCTGTCACCCAGGCTGGAGTGCCATGGCGTGATCTTGGCCCACTGCAAGCTCTGCCTCCCTGGTTCAAGCAATTCTTCTGCCTTAGTCTCCCAAGTAGCTGGGATTACAGGTGTGCACAAGCACGCCCAGCTAATTTTTTTTTTTATTTTTTCATGTTATTTTTTCATGTTTCACCAAGTTGGCCAGCTTGGTCTTGAACTCCTGACCTCAGGTGACCCACCTGCCTCAGTCTCCCAAAGTGCTGGAATTACAGGCATGAGCTACTGTGCCCAGCCCTGCATACATGATTAAAGTAGCTTGTATATGCATGTGTGTTTGTGCATGGATCCCATTATAAGTGTACATATCATCACCCCCACAAATATCTTATATACAGTACTGCATAAATTGTGTTGCATTCATATAAGAAAACTATGCAGTGATTAAAATGATGCATAGAAGAATATTTAATGATGTGGGAGATGTTCATGTTATACTAAGTAAAAAAAAAGGATTATAAAACAATGTTATAAAATAAGCCTATTTTTGGAAAAACAAGTTAAATGAAGTATATGCATATATCAGCAATGAAGATTAGCAGTGGTTCATTTAATTAAAGGGCCTTTTACATCTTTCATTTGCATTATCTATATTTTCTAAATCAGTACATTACCTACTATGATGGTTAATATTGAGTGTCAACTTGATTTGTTTGGATGAAGGATGCAAATTATTGTTCCTGGGTGTGTCTGTGAGGGTGTGGCCAAAGGAGATTAACCTTTGAATCCGTGGACTGGGAAAGGCAGACCCACCCTCAATCTGGGTGGGCACAATTTAATCAGCTGCCAGCGTGGTTAGGTAAAAGCAGGCAGAGAAATGTGGAAGGACTATACTGGCTGAGTCTTCTAGCCTTCATCTTTCTCCTGTACTGGATGCTTTCTGCCCTCGAACATGGTACTCCAAGCTCTTCAGCTTTTGGGCTCTTGGACTTACATCACTGGTTTGCAAGAGGCTCTCAGGCCTTTGGCCACAGACTGAAGGCTGCACTGTTGGCTTCCCTACTTTTGAGGTTTTGGGACTTGGACTGGCTTCCTTGCTCCTCAGCTTACAGACAGCCTATTGTGGGACTTCACCTTCTGATCACGTGAATCAATATTCCTTAATAAACTCCCTTTTTATATATGCATCTATCCTATTAACGCTGTCCTTCTAAAGAACCCTGACTAATACACCCACTAGGGTAATTTTAGCTAGGTATTAACGAAAAATCTGGCTTCAGTGAAAATGAATATAACCTGGCTTTTATAGTGACAGGTACAAAGTGGAGTCAGTAGATGTTGGGGAATGAAAAAGAAAGGATCAGAGTTCCATGAAGAGACAGTTTCTTAATGGACATAAGATGAGAAGCGGGCAGAGGAGCACCTATAAAGGAATACGATTTGTTCTAGGATATAAGTTCCTCACAGGAAATTCATTACAATTTACAGAAAAGGAAAATATTTAGTAGCTGAGAAAAAATAAGTAGCAAGGTCCTTGTTTCCTTTTTAGGAAAAAGCATACTCCTATATTACTATAAAAATGTTTGCCAATCCTTTCACAATCATCCTTATAATATATTCTACTAATACACATTAAGCTCATACGCTTCTTATATACAATAAGAGGTTGTTTGGCACATGTTACAGTCACAAATGTTTCCTGGAAACCATTGACCCAACTTTTAAAGTGTTCACTAAGATAATAAAATTATGCTGAAATATGAAATTATTTTCTTCTGTATTAAGAATGAGCTTCCTCAATAAAAAATATTTAAAAGGCCCTTATCTTGCAATGGCTCCAGTAATGGCCTTAGTTTCAGCTTTATACAGGAAATATCCTTATCTTCCCCATTCTTCCCATTTTGCCAAAAAAAATTTTTTTTTGAAATAACCATGAATTCTTTGGAAACAAAAGCACCAATCTGGCTGCCAGATGTTTTGAGAAGCCCTTTGGAAGAGGACATCTCAAGTAAAACAAGGGCCATTTTACAGAAGCTGTTTACATAATCCAATATTCATTGTGAGTTATTCCGCAGATAGAAAATAGTAAGCTTTGAGCAGCATGCTGGATTCATCATGTTTGAAAAATATACTCACTTTTGTCATAAAGAAAAGAGTACTGCATTCATTGACTATGCATCTAGTTAGGAAGTGGACATATATTTTTAAAATAATTTCTGGATGTAACATTTTATTTATTATAAACCTTCATAAAATATCTAACAGAGCTCCAAACATTAATTTAGTCACAGAAAGCATGAGGCAAGTATTAGCAGGCTCTAACAAGTCCTTTTTGGAAGTAAAAAATATATATATCTTTCACAAAATTTGCAATTACGAATTATCAATAAAATAATACTGGACTAAGTGTGAAGAGAAAAATGGATCACCTCAAATACTCTAAAGTATTTTAATTTATAAAATTAAATCTAATGCTGGACTGTGAAACTTTGTTGAGGGCGGTTGTGCTGAATGCTATTTATTTGGCTCCACAGGCCTGACTGCACCATCTCCAGCTCTCTGCTTCGGGTTGCTGACCTCTATGTCCATACCAGCCAGGGTCCCTTTCCCTTTGACTCCTGGTTGGTAAGGCAATGATGGAGTATTAGGAGACAGAAGATGAATGAGGTCAAGGCATTTATTTCCATAGTTCTTCTCTGTGGGGTTGCTAAGGTTGGCTCTCTCAACCACAACTATAATTTCACAGGGAGTACCTTATGACCAGTTAATAAAGGAAGAAAAATTGCAAGCTTAGATTAAATAAGAATTCACCGATATGCTAGCAACTGCTAGCAGTTGCTTCTTTATAACCCTACTGATGCATGGTCCTGCAAGTCAGTGAGTGAAAGGAAATCGTTCCATCAGGCAGAAATTTAGAGGGGAAATTTGACTGAGCACTGTGTGAAGGGAGAGATGGCTTGAGGTAGGAACCTGAACTAAACCATGAGCAGTAGCTAACAGGTTCGCCAGCTGGTAAGGGAACTGCAAAGAACATGATTGGAAAGTTGATGATCAGGAGATCTCATGGAGGAGTACATTAACAGTCCTCTCGCAACAGGCCCCATGTTCATTAATCAATTAAAAATGTTTGAGTATGAATTTGTAATGAATCATGTTTGCTGGGAATTAACATAGGTATCACTTTAACTCAAAAATAGAAAATTAAAAGGTAAAATATAAAGATAAATATAAAGATGATGTGTATCTTTACGTATTATATATAATATATAAGGATATAAAAATAAAATAAAAGTGTTTCATTTTTCCCACTTCAGTGAAGCATCTTCCACATTTCCTGGGTTGCAAACCCCATACTTTGAAAATTGCTATAGGTAAAGTGATGATAACACACATTTTTACATGTCTCAAGACATTTCGCTGTTACATTGCATTGATTGTTATATAGGTATTATTTTATTTTAGTACTCACCTATTCATGCTGGGCATGGGGTTGACTTTCTTACTGATTATTATTACTGGCACAATATCAAGAAGAAGAAAAAATTAACTGCATGACATTTCTGAGGGCCAAAATAGGGATAAAGTTCAAATGACCAGCATACTTTGCTTTCTTTCCTGATAATCACTTTGTCAGTTTTCATAGAATATGGTTTGCTAAGGTACTGTATCTATGCGTGTACTCTGGTGTGTGTGGTAATTGGGATGGCGGGGATACAAAAACCATAAAAGGTAGTTTAGGATGGTGAGGCACATATAGTGGAATCCTAAAAGTACAATTTGATTGTTTAATTTTATATATTAATCAGAATATATTGCTTGAGGTAGGGTTAAAATATCACTGATCTCTGTGATGCTAAAAAAACAATAAAATAAGGCTAATAAATATTTGTAAGATTTGCATTTCCAAATGACTAGATGTAATTCTGAGAGGAAGCCCACATATTTTACCAGTAAATTCAGAAATATGAAATTATATCAATTATTCAATTTAGCTGTCAAATAATGGACCTAAATGTCTTATGACCTAAATGATTACTTGATTTTTAAATCAGATATTTTTCAGATGCTCTAGCAGCCATTTCAGGCTATCAAAATAAACTGAGGTATACATGCTGTAAGAGGCATTGTAATTTGAATTGGAGCATTTTGATAATTTTTTTCATGAAGGAAATTTCTAGTGGAAGAAAAAAAAGCTCCATGTTCTACCAAAACTAACAGTTAACCTCAGTGATCACATATCTAATCACTACCCGCCTCCTACCATCACCCCTTATGTTTATGTTTTGGACATTCCAACATTTTATTGACCATCTGTATAAACCAGCTGCTGATCTTTGTATTTACTCACAATCATTATAAATCTTGCTGTTCATTATTAATTTACACTGGGTTTTGCGTTTTTCATTGCCTCTGGACATTTTCTGTTAGTTAATACTAATAAAAAGAACCAGGATACTAATAATACACCATAAGAAGGAAAACCTACTTTAATAATCAAAATAATTAAATTGAATGTGCTAACTAAATAATGCAAGCATGCCATTAAAAATTAAGAAATTGGTCATATACTATTCCTGATCCTTTTTCAAGTATTTAAATATTCTAGGAACTAAAAAATTCAAAACAATAAGTCAACACTTATTTAATAAGTGTTTACTGAGTATGCCAAAGAAATATGCTAGTTCCAAAACTTAATTGCTGTTATAAACATCAACACAAAGCTAAATTACCAGTAGGTACACCTTTAAATGAACATACTCTTTCTCACAACTCATCAGACCTATATAGAACATTGTCAAACATACCCTGGCCTTTTTTATGTAAGCCTTGCTTTAATAAAATAATTTCGGTTACATCATAAGGTCAAGGGCATATCGTGTGTACTTACTTTTGTAGAAAAGATTACATTATAGAATTGTAAACCAATATGAAATAACACAGTGCTCTAAGGATAAGTAATAAACTTGCCCTATTTATAGTTTCCTCTTAAAATCCTTAAAATTTTACCTGATTATATGCAATAAACATATCATATGTTTATGTATATACATATATGAATGCAGGTTTATATTTCTGCATATGTATGCAGAAATATATGCAAATCTAAAAGTTTCTGTGTGTGTATATGGATATATATACCCATATACATATATGCACATATACACATATATCCATATCCACACACACACACGTGTGTGTGTGGATATGGATATATATATGACTATATGTATGACCATATATATCCATATCTACACACACATACCCAAACTTCTTCCTATATTTTTAGAAGGTCTAAAATATCTTTATTGACTCTCCTTTTTTTGTTTTATAATATTTGATATTTCCTCTTCACCTCTTCACAACTACTTATGGAGGTACTTAATTTTCCTTACATAAACACTGCTAGTTTAAATCCTGTGCTACTTTAAACAAAATCAATGTGGTTTTAATTTACTTCTGAAGATTCTGCAATAATGTTTGACTTTCAAGATAACTATGAACCTTCTGAGGAATGTTTAGTGTGAATTTATTCAAGCAAGAAAAAAGTAGTTTATTATGGCACAGTAGCCTTCCAACGTCTAGAAATCAGTTAAGATCTCTACAGAAATACGTATCAGTGGTCACTTTTTAAAACAGCTTTAATATCTATTTATATTATGGGTTAATACTACCCATTAGGTACCATTGCAATTTATGCTTAGTGGCTCTTTATTCATGCTACTGGGGAGGGAAAACTCTAATATATATCATTATATTGTTAAATTTTCGGTTAATATTTTCTCCTTGCATCACTAAACTAATATGAAACTTTTTTTTAAATTTTATAGTCCAGAGACGTAAAAATAGTAATTAAAAATTATCTTTTAAGCTGCAGCTGAGTATTCTTTTAGAAATGACCTTTAAGATTGCTTATTGATCAAATATGGGTTCTTATTCCATTGCAGCATAATAAAAACATTATTGTCCCTCAGATATTGTTTTTTTGCCTCATATCGCTATTTCTTCACTCTGGCCTCTTTTTTCCCATGTACTGTGGTATTTCATGCACTCCCATATGGGAGACCCCCAAGTGAATAAAAAAAAGTCAACCTCCATTGGTACATGCATTGCATGTTAAGCCCACATTACCTTGCATTCTTCAAAAACCACATACATATACATCTTACAGAATTAGAAAATCACAAAATCTCAAGATTGTGGATTTACCAGTCTTTAATTTATTTCTTCTTTTCTTTCTTTTTTTTGTTTTTTTTTTTTGTTTTTTTGAGACGGAGTCTCGCTCTGTCGTCCGGGCTGGAGTGCAATGGCGCGATCTCGGCTCACTGCAAGCTCCGCCTCCCGGGTTCACGCCATTCTCCTGCCTCAGCCTCCCTGGTGGCTGGGACTACCGGCGCCCACCACCACGCCCAGCTGATTTTTTGTATTTTTAGTAGAGACGGGGTTTCACCATGTTAGCCAGGATGGTCTCCATCCCCTGACCTCGTGATCTGCCCGCCTCGGCCTTCCAAAGTGCTGGGATTACAGGCGTGAGCAACCGCGCCTGGCCCATTAATTTATTTCTAATGCACAAACATGTTTTGAATATAGAATTGTTTGGCACCAGTATTTTTTTTTTACCCTAGCTGTCCTTTAGTTACAAAATAAAGTTGAGTTTACCTTGCAATTCAGTCTTGCAAATTCATCTCCATGATTTTAGTAATCATTTATGATAATTCCAAAAGTAAAATTATGTGGTCTTGGGAAAAAGTAGATTGATGAAAGAGCAGGGAAGGGAGAGTGATGCAATAAATTGGCTTTGTGTCTTCAGTAACCACACCCAACTAAACAGAACCACATGATAGTAGCAACTTACTATTGTTTTGGCTATTAACAGACCTCATGTGCTCCCTCCTGAATGGATATTCACCCACTGAAAAACAGTCATGGATCCCCAGGCTGAGGTATTACAGAAGGTAGATTGTACCCTTTGTAAGAAAGAATCTGAGGTCATTAAATGAAGGCATTCTACTCTTATAAAAAGATTTTTTCCTGGGACTTTAAAGCAAGCTATGAGTGGGGGTCCAAAGCACAGTTATAAAATTTAGTTTTCCTGTAGTTATTTACCAACCTCCATTCTTACTGGTCATCTTTTAGTGATTCACATTACAAAAAGGAAACAGGGAAGATGAAACCAAACTTCGTCAAGTTTAACAGTTAATTCATTAAGATTGACAAAAAATCTTTTTCCTTAGAGTTTTTCCATCCCTTTCTATTTTTTCCCATCTAATGAGAATGACTTATTGTCACCTCCTCTTTGCTCCACTTTTTTGCGTTTTTGTACATGCAGATTATCTAATTCATAATTTCCTTTTAAGTTTGCAGTAGCCTTTCAGTAAATAGTTCCAAGTTCTATTTTTATGTAAATTACACATTTAATTATAACTATTCAGATATAACTGAACATTAAGTTTTGGGAAAGATCAATTCAATTCAACAAGTATTTGTTGACTACTATTTGCCTGCCTCTATTTGTGATTCTTGGAGTATGCTAGTAAGAAAACTGACAAAACCTTTACCTTTATTTCTTGCATCTTAGCCTAAATATTAACATATTCCATAGCTCTACCTCACCTACCAAAAGTTTTCATTTTCTTCTCTGATATCCTTTCTCGCTAGTACCACTAGAAAATTTCAATGACCAGTTGTGTTCCCATCCAACATATACAATAACGAAAGAGGTAACACTTATGCTGTGCTCATGTGCTAGGCACTGTTCTAAAATGTTCCATATATTAACTCATTTAAGCTACATAACAAGTCTATGGGATGGGCATTATTTATAATCATCTCAGTGTGATAAAAGAGAAAGCCCCTTGTGCTCACTCATCTTCCAAGCTTTCCCAGTTACTAAGTGACATTCTAATGAAACCCAGGCAGCCTACCCTCAGAGTTTGTTATTAATATTTACCACTAAATGTTCAAAATCTCTCCAGAAAGGCTTATGTAGTATTCCTTTTGATGTAGTTACTTTCATTATTTGTTCTACAGCAATCTAAAACTCAATTCAGAATCTCATCTAATCAAAACTATGGTATACATTTAAAATTAATTTAAGGGCATCACATTTCATTGAAGAATTTTCAGAGCACAATATATTCTTAATCGATTTAACTTAACCTCATGGTCATTGATTTAAAATGTCTCTAATACCAAACTGATTATTTTTCATATTAAATCATAGAATCCATATCTATTAAAATTAATTAAACTTTCCCTACAAGTGAGAGGTATGTAATATTACAAGAATAGTGTATATATTTTACTACTTTCTAATTCCATGACTTTTCTTGGTTAGAATAGAAAACAGGTGGTCTAGGCATCAAAAAATCAAAATATCTCATCTAATGAAAAGAAGTCATTTTTTAATAACTATAATTATTTCTGTAGGAAATGAAGTCCACTTAATACTGGCTTTATTTGCAATATTATTTGTTGTACGCAGATCTATAACAAAATATAAAACAGCAAACATTGCTACATCAGAGTAATTTAATATAAAATAGGAAATATACTCGATTCAAATTCTGAATCCATTGTTCAAAGACTATGAACATATTCCTTTTGGCTAGAAACCTAAGGACATATCTCTCTCTTTTTAACTTCTTTTTTTAATCACATCTGTATAACAGATATACAGCTTCCTTATCATCCATGGAAACCAGATTGGTCTCATCTGAATGATTAAATCTCTTTTAAAATATAATGATGTAGATTCTATTTATGTGCACCTTCAAGCAATGTAGGGGAAAATATAAAACCCAGATCTGTCACTAATTTAATGCTAATTCTTGGCCCTCTTAGTTAAGAAACATTTTTTCAAACTACCTTTATTTAAAGTATTATTCAAATGCAATAAAATAAAAAATATTTTTTGTTTGCAGTTCAATGAGTTTAGACAAATGTATATACCCATGTAAACACTGCTCCAATTAAAATGTAGAAAATATGCATTGTACTCTAAAGGAATCCTTGTGCTCCTTCTGTGTGAAGCCCACGCAAATTCTCAGACCTGCTGATATATGCCTTTTGTCACTATAAGTTATATTTTTTTCTTCTCGCATTTGTACACATAGAATTATACAGCCTTTTGTGCCTGATTCCCTTCCCTCAGCATAGTGTTTTTTAAGAGTCATCTATATTTTGAGAGTATCAATAGTCATTTTCTGGATTAAATGGTAGTACATTTCTTAACTTTATAAGAAATGACAAACCGTTCTCTAAGGCACTTTTTCACTAGAAATGTGTCAGAGTTCCAGCTGCTCCACACACCTTTCACAGGGCAAGATATTATCATTCATTCTAATTTTAGCCATGTTATTGAGTGTGTAGCCATGTTATTCAGTGTGCCTTTTTAAAAGGGTCTAATATATATTTAATAATTTTCTATTGATTTTATAAATAGGAAATATTTAGACAAATAATAGGAGTGTCTATTTTGTCATCTTGATCCCCATCCTGCAAATATTTGAGGGTCACCCTAGACTGAACCATAATAGTAGCATCAACAAGGAAACATTACTTGAACAGTTTTAGATATAACTTTATAGAAATACACACTATGTCCACATGAACAAAAAAATACTTTCTCAATGCTGACATCATGGTAGCATACCTATGCATCTCTGTGTTTCTGTTCACCATAGTCCCATTTCCAAGTTCCTTGATCTCAGAAGTTTCTATAGATTACAAAATTTCTTATGGACAAGTCTGCTAGAAAAAATTTCCTTCAGCTTTTTGTTTAAAAATGTTTATTCTTCAGTTTTGAAAGATAATTTTATTAGATATGAAATTATTCATTTTTCCTTCTATACTTCAATAATCCATTCCATTCTCTTCTTGTTCACATAGTTAGCATTGAGAAAGTTGCTGTATTTCTTATCCATGTTCCTGTAGAGGTGAGGTACCTTTTCATTTACCCCCCACCCCTGGATGCCTTCAAGATTTTCAATTTGTCTTTAGTTTTCCACAGTTTGAATACGAAGTGACTAAATGTACACTTTTAGTATTTATCCTGTTAGTGTTTCTTGCACTACTTAGATCTGTAGTTTGAGAAAATCATTAGTTCTACTGATGTTATAAACATCAAAAGGACAATAAAGAAATAGTATGAACAAGGCTACATCTATCAAGTTTATAACTTAGTTACAATGAAAAAAACTTCTTGAAATACACAAACTATCAAAACACACAAAACTATCAAAACACACAAAACTACCAAAATACACAAGGATAAATACATAACCTGAATAATCCTATACCTGTTGTAGAAGTTGAATCAATAATTATACTTCCAACAAAGAAAGCACCAGGCCCAGTAGTTTCATTGGTGAATTCTACCAAATAGTTAAGAAAAAAGAATACCAATTCCTCACAATTTTTCCAGAAAGAAGAAGCAGAGGAAATACTTCCTAAAATATTTTATGATGCCAGCATTACCTTAATACCAAACCAGAAAAAATAGTACAAAAAGAAAAATTATGGACCAATACCTCTTATGAAGATAGACACAGAAATCCTTGACAAAATGGTACTAAAACAGCAATCTAAACCCAATTTGAATAAAAATTGAAGCTATTTTTTATCCTAGATTACTTAAATTTATTTATAATAAAAAAGATTATTTCAATCTATCCATCACAAAAAAAATATAATAAATAAACATGTAGCACACATTTAATCTAGGTATGTATGGCCGATTCAACATTTGAAACATGAATGAAATCCACCACATAAGCAGGCCAAAAAAATTCACATATTAACTTATTAACTAATGCATAAAATTTCGAAATCCAACAGCAATTCACCATAAAATCTTTCAGACAATAGAAATCAAGAATTACTATTGTAGAAATTCCTCGACTTGAATAAAAATGTTTACAAAAACCTAAACCAACAAAATGAACATTAAAAGACTAGAAGGTTTCCTCCACAAGATTGGAATCAAGGCAAGGAATTCCTCTCCTACCACTTCTAGTCAACATTGTACTGGATCTCAGACCAATAAGGCAAGAAAGAGAAAGATCAGTTTAATGGATTGGAAAGAAAGAAATAAAATTGTCATTACTTGCACATGACATATTGTCTATGAAGAAAATCACAATGTATCTACAATAGAAAAAAAAAATTCCCGAAACCAATAAATGACTATAGCAAATAGTGCTATAGTATTGTGTATTTGGTGCTATAGTATTGTGACTATAGCAAAGTCACAATACACAAAACTCAAAATATGGCAATAAACATTTAGTAAATGTACTCTTAATATTTAACAATTAAATTTACAATAGCACCAAAAAATTAAACATTTAGGTGTAAATGTTACATAATATGTATAAAATCTATATATGTTAGACTACAAAATTCAGATAAAACAAATCAAACATCCAAATAAATTTAGAAATAGTGTTTTCATGGATTAGAAGACAACACTGTGGAATAAATTACTCCCAACTTGATCTATAAATTCAACACAATTCCAATCAAAATGTCAGTACGCTATTGTATATACATTAATACTGATACAAAAGACTAAATAAATAGTGGCATCAGCAAGATAGCAAAATAGAAAGTCTCAAGTTCCACTTCCCCACCCCCAACAGAAAGTTCACCTAGCAACTTTCCACAGACCACAATAACCTTCTGAAAATTCCAATACTTGGAAATATGTCTGAAACATCCATATGTTCCATAGAACAGAATTAAATCTGACTTAGAAGGGTAAGAAGAATGGTCTTAGTTCAACTAAACCACTTTATTCCCTTCCCCAAGTCGGCACAATACCAGACAGAGAGGATTTTCCTGACCCACAGTTTCTACAAAGGAAGAAGAAAATGACAGGCAGTCATCCAGCTTCCCTAGAATTCCAACATTCTTTCCAGGAAGTCCATGCTAAATTCACCTCATGGAGAACACTAGGGAAAACAGAATGGCAAGAATACTCAGACTCAGACAGAAACAAAGGAAGGAAGTGCAGGTCATAGTGACTAGCGCATGAATCTTGGTGGTTGCTCTGTTTTCCTGCCAGTTGTGGCACCAGATTAGAGTTACAAGTCAACTTCTCAGTGCACTTAAAAAACTGACCTAGTTGCCTTCAAAAATATGGTGGGAAGTTTAACTTACCTTGGGTCCCTAGGCAGCTAGTGTCCATGCCCTTGGATTGACCAAGACAGGAAGACTCCCACCTCTGTATATTTTACAAAAAGCACAAAGGCTAAACTGATTTGACCTGGGAAGTTATGCAGTAGCTCCACTCAGCACAAAAGCCCACCCAATGACCTTGCTGAGCCAGGGAGACTTCTACCTCCATACATTCCAGAGAAATAAAGGGGCTACACTGGTTTGACCTGGAAAGTCAAACAGCCACTCAACTTAGCCAAAAGCTCACCCCATGGCTTCAACCTAACAGGAAAACTATTCTCAGTCTTCCAGTTCTAATGAGCATAGACTCTGGTCCTATTTGTCCCTCCAAGTAGCAGCTGCACCTAACTCAAAGCCCAGCCTGCAGCCCTGCCCAACTGCAGATTGCAAAGAGCAGAATTGCCCAGCCAGGTAATATATGCTGTGACCAGCCTGACCAGAGGACACTGCAGTCCTGAGACAGAAGCTATGCCTGATAGTAGAGCCCAACCAGAAGCTCCACCTGACATCACAGCTAAAGTAGCAGCCAAGCCAACTGGAAAACCGACAGCAAGCTCTACCAGGCCAGGGTTATTACCAGAGTGCCATTCCAGAATCACAGGCTATATTAAATAGTTAAGATCTATCCCTGACAAAAAAACAAACAAACAAACAAAAAACCTTAAAAACAAAAGAGAGGGAAGTCTCCACAAATGTACAGACAACAATGCAAGGAAACAAGAATTATGAGGAATTAGGGAGTCATAACATCTCCAAATGTACAATAAAGCTACAATAGTAAATCCAAAAGAAATAAATATCATTGAAATGACTGAAAAAGAAGTCACAATAATGCTCATTTAAAAAGCTCAGTAAAGTACAAGGATATATGGATGAAAAACGTAATAAAGTTTGGAAAACAATACACAAAAATGATTAGTTTGACAAAGAAATAGAATCAATAAAAAAGAATCAGATAGGAATCCTAGAGATAAAAAATACACCAGAACTGAAAAACTCAACAGAAAGCTCAAACAGCGGAATAGAACAAACAAATCAAAGGATCAGTGAGTGGAAAACAGACAATTTGAAATAATCCAGTCAGAGGAGCAAAAAGACAAAAGAATAAAAAAGAATAAAGAAAGCCTCTTAAAAATTCAGACACCTTCACTAGAACAAGTCTTTGCATAATAAGAGTTGCAGGAGGAGAAGAAAGAGAAGAGCAGCCAGAAATCATATTTAGAGAAATAATGGTTGAAGACTTCCCTAATCTAAGGATAGATGTAAACTCCCAGGTAGGGGAAGCACAGAGCTCAGTCAAATTCAACCCAGAGAGGACTACAACAAGATACATAATAATCAAACTATCAAAAGCAAAGAAACTATTCTGAGAGTAGCAAGAAACAAGACAAACATTTCACACAAATGAATGGCAATAGAACTGTCAACATATTTCTTAGAAGAAACCCTACAGGCCAAGAGAAATTTGAATAATATATTCAAAGTGCTGAAGAAAAAAGAAAACTGCGAATGAGGAATACTTTATCCAGTAAAACTGTCTTTTCAGAGTCATGGGGAAATAAGAACTTTTGTAGACAAACAAAAGCTAAGGGAGTATAACATCACTAGACCTGCCTTACAGGAATCTTAATGGGAGTTATTAATATTTAAATTGCAACAATAACATACAAAAGCACAAAACCTAATGGTATAAGTAAAACAACATTTTCAGAGTACTCTAGGATTTTAATGATGTGTGTGTAAGGTGTGTAATGCAATTTTATTCCTAGTATGGGCATTAAAATGCAAAACAACAACTATAGCGAAAATAAATTATCAAGGGATACATAATAAAAATGTTACCAATTCTGGCATCAAAAACATAAACTGTGAAGGGAGGAGTAACAGTCCAGAGTTGTTGTATACAATAAAATTTAAGTTCTTATCAGACTGAAATAGAATGCAATAAGTACAGGATGTTCTAGTAAACAACATGGTAATAAAAAAGCAAAAATCTTTAGTAGAGCACAAACAAAAAAAGTAGAATGAATTCAAAGCATGAATGCCTGCATTCAAAGCAGGAATTACACACATGATTTAAAGCATGAACCACTACAGAAAACCATGGAACCACAAAGAAAGACTGCAAGAGAGAAAGAAAAAAAAAACCTACAAAACAATCAGAAAACAAAGTGACAGTAGTAAGTCCTTACTCGTCAGTAATTACCTGGAATGTAAATTTATTACATTTCTCAACAAAAAGAAATAGAGTTACTGAATGGATTAAAAAAAATACCTACCTGTTACTAAAAAGAGATTGACTTCACTATAAAGGGCACACATAACTGAAAGTGAAGGAATATAAAAGATATTCCACACAAGTGAATCTCAAAAGATAGACAGCATAGTTATACTTAAAAAAAAAATAGACTTTAAGTAAAAAATTGTAAAAAAAAAAAAAAGACAAAGAGGGACATAATATAATGATAAGAGGTCAATTCATCAAAAAGTTATATCAGTTGTAAATATATATGCACCGCACCCAAAATTGGAAAAGCTAAATATATATTCAACAAACATTAAAAGAACTGAAAAGAGAGATAGATCACAATTAAATAACAAGGTGGGACTTCAATGCCCTACTTTCAATACTCTACTTATAAACAGAAAATTAATAAGGGAGTAATTGGTTCAAAAAACATTGTAGACAAAATGGATCTAACAGACATGTATAGAATCTTCCAACCAACAGATAACAACAGAATACAAATTCTTCTAAAGACTGCAGGGAACATTCCCCAAAATAAATCATATGTTATGAAACAAAACAAGCCTCAGCAAATTTCAGAAGATTAAATGAAGACATTATAGTTTCAGGTCTTAGATTTAAGTCCTTGATCCATTTTGAGTTTATTTCATATAAGGTGACAGACAATGATCCAGTTTCTTTCTCTTACATGTGGCTTGCCATTGATCCCAGCACCATTTTTTGAACAGGGAGTCCTTTCCCCCACTTTATGTTTTTATTTGCTTTGTCCAGGATCAGTTGGCTGTAAATATTTGGGTTTATTTCTGGGTTCTCTATTCTGTTCCATTGGTCAATGTGTCTATTTATGATGGAATACTACTCAGTCATAAAAAGGAACAAATTAACGGCATTTGCAGCAACCTAAATGAAACTGGAGACTTATTCTGAGTGAAGTAGCTCGGGAATGGAAAACCAAATATCATATGTTCTCACTCATATGTTGGAGCTAAGCTATGAAGATGCAAAGGCATAAGAATGATACAATGAACTTTGGAGATGCAGGGTAAAGGGTGAGAGGAGGGTGAGGGAAAAAAGACTACAAATTGGGTTCAGCGTATACTGCTCCAGAGATGGGTGCACCAAAATCTCACAAATCACCACTAAATAACTTATTCATGTAACCAAATACCACCTTGTGATGATTAAGTGTTGACTGAGTGTCAACTTGATTGGATTGAAGGATGCAAAGTATTGATGCTGAGTGTGTCTGTGAGGGTGTTGCCAAAGGAGATTAACATTTGAGTCAGTGGGCTGGGAAAGGTGAACCAAACTTAATCTCGGTGGGTGCCATCTAATCAGTTGCCAGTGTGGCTAGAATATAAAGCAGGCAGAAAAATGTGAAAAGAATAAACTGGCCTAGCCTCCCAGCTTACATTTTTCTCCCATGCTGGATGCTTCCTGCCCTTGAACATCGGACTCTGAGTTCTTCAGTTTTGGGACTTGGATAGGCTCTCCTTGCTCCTCAGCTTGCAGCTGGCCTACTGTGGGACATTGCGAGTGTGTGAGTGAATACGTAATAAACTCCCCTTTATATCTATCTAACTATCTTATTAGTTCTTTTCCTCTAGAGAACACTGACTAATACAGATTTTGGTACCAGGAGTGGTTCTAGAGAAACAGAATATTAAGGATGGTGTTCTTTCATTGGTTCGGGGGTTTCTGAAGTTGACTGCTTAATATGATTAAACCCCAAAATGCTAAGGACTCTACTTCTAATAGTATGGAGAACACTGATAGTCCTTGGTGTAAACTGTTTGGAGAGTTATACAAACTAAATGCATTTGACATTCCAGATTCACAGCTCATGTGAGGCAAGGAGTTTAGTGACTCTGCACATAATATCTTTGACTGTATGTAGAGAACCAAAAAACAATGAAGCTGGTTGGTTGCTCCTAGTTCAGTGGACAAAGTGATGAAAGAAAATTATGAACTCAGGGATTGCAACTCCCTGTTTCAGAAGCAGACACTAAGCCTCAAATCTGCTTAGATTGCCCTGAGTGAGAGTCTTACCTCCTATAGAGAAAGAGCTGAAATTGTGGAAAACAGGACACGAGCTCTTATCATGCAAGTGGCTGACCTGCAGTGAAAGGTGCATGCACAGCCTCACCAGGTTTCTACTGTTAAAGTGAGGGCATTGATTGGAAAAGAATGGCACCCTAAAACTTGGAATGAGGATGTGTGGGAGGACCCTGATGAAGCTGGGAACGCTGACTTTGTAAACACTGATGCACCTTTTTTGCCAAAAGAAACAGCTTCCCCATCCCTAGTAGTGGCAACATCCCCTCCCCGACCCATGCTGCCATCAGCCTTTCTACCTTTGTCTAAGGAAATAAACCCTGTTCTGCCTGAGGCAACAGTCATGGCCTCCCCTGAGGCAGTTGCCAGGCAAGATAATGTTGATTATCTTCACAAGCCAACCCTAATACCTGTTTGCCTCTAGACCTATAACTAGAATAGAGTCCCAGCGGGCTCCTAGAGGTAAGGTTCAGAGTGTGACCCATGAGGAGGTATGCTACACTTGAAAACAACTGCTTGAGTTTTCTAATATATATAAGCAGAAATCTGGATAACAAGCATGGGAATGAATATTAAGGGTGTGAGATAATGATGGATGGAACATTGAGTTGGATCAGGCTGAACTGATTGATTTGGGCCCACTAAGTAGGGACTCTGCATTTAATGTTGCAGATCGGGAAGTTAAAAATAAATTCTAATAGGCCGGGCATGGTGGCTCACACCTGTAATCCCAGCACTTTGGGAGGCTGAGACGGGCAGATCACCTGAGGTCAGGAGTTCAAGACCAGACTAACCGATATGGGAAAACATCATCTCTACTAAAAATACAAAAAGTAGCCATGTGTCATGGTGGGTGCCTGTAATCCCAGCTACTCAGGGGGCTGAGGTAGGAGAATCACTTAAACCTGGGAGGCAGAAGTTGCAGTGAGCTGGGATTGTGCCACTGCACTCTAGCCTGGGTGTCAGAGGGAGACTCTATCTCAAAAAAAAATAAATAGATAAATGATGAGTTAGTTAATGGGTGCAGCACACCATCATGGCACATGTATACATATGTAACAAACCTGCACATTGTGCACATGTACCCTAAAACTTAAAGTATAATAATAATAACAATAATAATAAAAATAGATAAAAATAAAAAATCCTAATAGTTTATTTGCTTAGTTAGCTAAAATATGGATTAAAATATGTCCCACACTGAGTGAGCTGAAAATGTCTGATCTCCCTTGGTTTAATGTAGAGGAAGAGATCCCAAGACTTAGGGAGATTGGGATGATGAAGTGGGTTAGTCACTTTAGACATACTCATCCCGGCTGGGAGTGTCTAGAAGACATACCCTTGACCAATGCCTTGTGAAATAAGTTTATGAGGGCAGCATCTGCATCTTTAAAAAACCCTGTAATTGCTCTTCTCCATATGTCAGATCTAACGGTGGGAACCACAGTCACTCAACTACAAAATTTAAATACAGTGGGAATAATTGGATCCCAGGCAGCAGAAGCCAAGTGGTGGCACTGAACCATCAAAATCAAGGTGAGCATAGCTACTGTAATAAACAGCAGAGGCAAAGCAGCATTAAAAATACTCTGACTTGTGTAGAGTTTGGGCATTAGCTAATTAATCACAGTGTTCCTAGAATTAAAATTAATAGGAAGCCTATTGCATTCCTCCTTAATTTACATAAGCAGAAAACTTCTAGGTCAAATGGACAAAAGACCAATTTGGATTATAAAAACAGAGAAACATGGCCCCTCAATCAATTTCCAGACTTGATCCAGTTTACAGACCCAGTACCCCTTGAATGAAGGGGAGTCCCGGTCCCCTTAAGGAAGGACCCCACTACACTACTGACAATTTATGCTGTTAATATTTCTTCCATCCTTCCCCAAGGAGACTTCTGGTGAAAGAGAAATGATAGGCATTTCAGGGACTACTGGACACTGGCTCTGAGCTGACATTGATTCCAGAGGACACAAAACGTCATTGTGGGCCTCCATTTAAAGTAGAAACTTGTGGAGATCAGGTAATTAATGGAGTTTTAGCTCAGATCTGACTTGCAGTGGGTCCAGTGGGTCCCTGAATTCATCCTGTGGTCATTTCCCCAGTGCCAGAATGCATAATTGGCATGGACATATTTAGCAGCTGGCAGAACCCCCACATTGGCCCCCTAACTGGTAGAGTGAGGGATATTATGGTGGGAAAGGCAAAATGGAAGCTATTAGAGCTGCCTCTACCTAGAAAAATGGTAAATAAAAAACAATATTGCATCTCTGGAGGGATGGTGGAGATTAGTGCCACCATCAAGGACTTAAAAGATGCAGGAGTGGTGATTCCCACCACATCCCCGTTCAACTCTCCTATTTGGCCTGTGCAGAAGACAGACGGCTCTTGGAGAATGACAGTGGATTATCATAAGCTAAGCCAGGTGGTGACTCCAATTGCAGCTGTTGTACCAGATGTGGTTTTATTGCTTGAGCAAATTAACACATCTCCTGGTACCTGGTATGTAGACACTGATTTGGCAAATGCATTCTTCTCCATTCCTGTCCATAAGGCCCACCAGAAGCAATTGGCCTTCAGCTGGCAAGGCCAGCAATGCACCTTTACTGTCCTACCTCAGGGGTATATCAACTCTCTGGCTTTGTGTCATAATCTTATTGAGAGAGACCATGATCACTTCACTTCTGCAAGATATCACACTTGTCCATTACATTGATGACATTATGCTGATTGGATCCAGTGAGCAAGAAGCAGCAAACACACTAGACTTATTGGTGAGACATTTGAGTGCCAGAGGATGGGAAATAAATCCAACTGAATTTCAGGGACCTTCTACCTCAGTAATTTCTAGGGGTCCAGTGGTGTGGGGCCTGTTGAGATATTCCTCCTAAGGTGAAAGATAAGTTGCTGCATTTGGCCCCTCCTACAAGCAAGAAAGAGGCACAACGCCCAGTGGGTCTATTTGTATTTTGGAGGCAACACATTCGTCATTTGGCTTTGTTACTCTGGGCCATTTATCAAGTGACCCGAAAGGCTGCCAGTTTGGAGTGGAATCCAGGCGGAGAAGGCTCCGCAACAGATCTAGGCTGCTGTGCAAGCTGCTCTGCCACTTGGGCCATATCATCCAGCAGATCCCATGGTGCTTGAGGTGTCAGTGGCAGATAGGGAGGCTTACTGGAGCCTTTGCAGGCCCCCATAGGTGGATCAGAGCAGAGTCCTCTAGGATTTTAGAGCAAGGCCATGCCATCTTCTGCAGATAACTATTCTCCTTTTGAGAGACAGCTCTAGACCTGTTACTGGGCTTTGGTGGAAACTGAATGTTTGCCTACGGGTCATCAAGGCACCATGCCACCTGTACTGCCTATCATGAACTGGGTGCTTTCTGACCCATCTAGCCATAAAGTGGGTTGTGTGCAGCAGCATTCCATCATTAAATAGAAGTGGTATATATGTGATCAGGCTTGAACAGGTCCTGAAGGCACAAGGAAGTTACATGAGGAAGTGGCTCAAATGCCCATGGTCTGTACTCCGGCCACCCTGCCTTCTCTCCCCAAGCCTGCACCAGTGGCCTTATGGGAAGTTCCCTAAGATCAGTTGACAGAGAAAGAGAAAACTAGGACATGCTTCACAGATGGTTCTGCACGATATGCAGGCACCACCTGAAAGTGAACAGCTGCAACACTACAGCCTCTTTCTAGGATATTCCTGAAGGACAGTGGTGAAGGGAAATCTTCCCAGTGGGCAGAACTTCAAGCAGTGCACCTGATTATGCACTTAGCATGGAAAGATAAATGGCCAGATGTACAATTATATGCTGATTCATGGGCTGTCATTAATGATTTGGCTGGATGGTCAAGGACATGGAAGAAGCATGATAGGAAAATTGGTGACAAAGAAATTTGGGGAAGAGGGATGTGGATGGACCTCTCCAAGTGATCAAAAACTGTTAAGATATTTGTATGCTATGTGAGTGCTCACCAATGGGTGACCTCAGCAGAGGAGGATTTTAATAATCAAGTCAATAGGATGACCCGTTCTGTGGACACCACTCAGCCTCTTTCCCCAGCCATTCCTGTTATCGCCCAATGGGCCCATGAACAAAGTGGCCATGGTGGCAGGTACTGAGGTTATACGTGGGCTCAGCACAGCAACATGGACTTCCACTCACCAAGGCTGACCTAGCTACAGTGACTGCTGAGTGCCTAATTTGCCAGCAGCAGAGACCAACACTGAGATTTCCATATGGCACCATTACTTGGGGTGATCAGCCAGCTACCTGGTGGTGGGTTGATTATATTGGACCTCTTCCATCATGGAAAGGGCAGAGGTTTGTCCTCACTAGAATAGATGCTTACTCCAGATATGGGTTTGCCTATCCTGCATGCAATGCTTCTGCCAAGGCTACCATCCCTGGACACATGGAATGCCTTATCCACCATCATGGTATTCCACACAGCAATGCCTCTGACCAAGGCACTCACTTTATGCCTAAAAAATTGTGGCAGTGGGCTCATGCTCAAGGAATTCACTGGTCTTACCATGTTTCCCATCATCCTGAAGCACCTGGATTTATAGAACAGTGGAATGGCCTTTTGAAGTCACAATTACAATGCCAACTAGGTGACAATACTTTGCAGGGCTGAGGCAAAGTTCTCCAGAAGGCTGTGTATACTCTGAATCAGCGTCCAATATATGGTGCTCTTTCTCCCAAAGCCAGGATTCATCGGTCCAGGAATCAAGGGGTGGAAGTGGAAGTGGGACCACTGACCATCACCTCTAGTGATCTACTAGCAAAATTTTTGCTTCCTGCTCCCGTGACCTTACGTTTTGCTGGCCTAGAGGTCTTAGTTCCAGAGGGAGGAATGCTGCCACCAGGAAGCACAATGATTCCATTAAACTAGAAGTTAACATTGGCACCTGGACACTTTGGGCTCCTCCTACCTTTAGGTCAACAGGCCAAGAAGGGAGTTACAGTGTTGGCTGGGGTGATTGACCCGGACTATCAAGATGAAATCAGTTTACTACTCTACAACAGAGGTAAGGAAGAATATGCATGATATATAGGAGATCTATCAGGGTGTCTCTTAATATTACCATGCCCTGTGATTAAGGTCAATGGGAAACTACAACAGCCCAATCCAGGCAGGACTACAAATGTCCCAGACCCTTCAAGAATGAAAGTTTGGGTCACTCCACCAGGAAAAAAACCATGACCTGCTGAGGTACTTGCTGAAGGCAAATAGAATACAGAATGGGTAGTAGGAGAAGGTAGTCATCAATACCACCTACGAACACATGACCAGCTGAAGAAACAAGGACTGGAATTGTCATGAGTATTTCCTCCTTCTTTTGTTAAAAACATGTTTGTGTATACTTGTACTACGAAAATATCTTCATTTCATTTTCTTTCTCCTTTATCATGTGACATAAGATTTATTGACTTTATATCAGTATTTAAGTATTGCTAACTTTATGTAATAGTATTTGGGTTCCGGATTGATGCATTTCTGGATGTACAAGGTATTATGTTAGGAGTAATTATGACCTTACTCTTGTCTTTATTTGAAGATTATGTATAACCTCAGGAGATGTGTATGAGTTCACGTTGAGAAGGCGTGGACTTGTGATGGTTAATACTGAGTGTCTACTTGATTGGATTGAAGGATGCAAAGTATTGATCCTGGGTGTGTCTGTGAGGTTGTTGCCAAAGGAGATTAACATTTGAGTCAGTGGGCTGGAGAAGGCAGACCCACCCTTAATCAGGGTGGGCACCATCTTATCAGCTGCCAGCTAGAATATAAAATCAGCAGAAAAATGTCAAAAGACTAGACTGGCTTAGTCTCTCAGCCTACATATTTCTCCTGTGCTCGATGCTTTCTGCCCTCGAACATCGGACTCCTAGTTTTTCAATTTTGAGACTCAGACTGGCTCTCCTTCTTCCTCAGCTTGCAGACGGCCTATTGTGGGACCTTGTGACCATGTGAGTTAATACTTAAGAAACTCCTCTCTCTCTCTGTCTCTCTCTCTCTCTCTCTCTCTGTCTCTCTCTCTCTCTCTCTCTCTCTCTCTCTCTCTCTCTCTATATATATATATATATATATATATATATATATATATATATATATATATATATATATATCCTATTAGTTCTGTCCCTCTAGAGAACCCTCACTAGTCCACACCTGCTCCCCCAAACCTTTGGAAATAAAAACTAAAACAACAACAACAACAACAAAAGACAAAATCATGAAGACATACAAAATGCAAACATATCAATAACAAATGAGATTGAATCAGTTCATCCAGCAAAGAAAACCTGATGATGCCTTCACTGCTGAATTCTACGAAACATTTAAAGAAGAAACAATATCTATCTTTCTCAAACTCTTCCAAAAAAATTGAAAAGAAATGAACACATCCAAACTCTTTTTAAGAGGCAAGAACTGTCTGCTACTAAAGCCAGAACAAGGACAAAACAGACACACATGTGCACAAATTAGAGGCTAATATACTTGAAGAATACAGATGCAAAAATAATCATCAAAACAAATGTAAACCAAATCAACAACTTACTAAAAGTATCATCCACCAAGATTATGTGAGATTTATCCATGGGATGCAAAGATGGTTCAGCCCACACACATCAATAAATATGTTAACAGAATAAAGAACAAAAACCATATGATTATTTCATTAAATGTAGAAAAAGCATTTGACAAAATTCAACAAACTTTCATCACCAAAACCTCACTAAATTAGGTATAGAAGACATGCATTTCAACACAACAGTGAAGCCCATATGTAAGAAGCTGACAGCTAACATTTATATTCAATGGTGAATAATTGAAGTCCTTCCTCTGAGATCTGGAACAAGACAATAATACTCACTCTTACCACCTCTATTAAACAAAGTACTCTAAACCCTTGCCAGAGCAATAAGATAAGAGAAAAAAAAAAGTCATCTGAATAGAAAAGGAAGAAGTAAAATTGTTGATATTTGCTGATGACATGATCTTACGTATAGGAAATGACCACCAAAAATATTGTTAGAAATAATATGTAAATACTGTAAAGCTACAGGATACAAATTCAACAGGCAAAAATCAGTAGCATTTATAGACACTAAGAACAAACTATCTAAAAAAGAAATCAAGAAATAATTAAGGAGAGGAAAAATCAGTATACTAAAACTTAAAATACTTTGATGAAAGACATTGATGACACAAATATATGAAAACATATTCCATGTTCATGAATTGGAAGAGTTAATATTATTAAAATGCACATACTACCCAAAGTGATCTAAACACTTAATGCGATCTCTATCAAAATTCTAATATCATATTTCACATAAATACAATTAAGCCTAATTTACATAGGAAACCAATAAAACCCTCAAATAACCAAGGTAATCATGAGTTAAAAAAAGAAAGCTGAAGTTATTGTACTACATAATTACAAACTTCTGTATACCACAGAGCTATGATAATTAAAACACCAGAAATGAACCCACACACGTATGATCTATTGCCTTTCAATAAACATGCCAAGAATACTCAATGGAAAGAAACTGTTTCTTCAATAAATAGTGTTGGAAAAGCTGAATATCCACATGCAGAAAAATGAAATTGGATCCTTACCTAATACTGTATACAAAACTCATACCCTAAAATGGATAGAAGATTTAAACATAAGACCAGAAATTGTTCAACTAAAAGAAGAAAAAAAAATCACGGAATAATTACATAAGAAAGAGCTGGCCAATTATTTTTCTTGGATTTGACCCCAAAAGCACAGGCAACCAAATAAAAATAGACAAATAGGATTACATCACATTTAAAAGCTACTGAACAGCATAGAAGACAATTAACAGTGTGAAAATCACACTGTTAATTTGTGCAAGGCACACATCTGAGAAGGATTTAATATCTAAAATATGTAAGAAATTGAAAGAACTCAACAGCACAAAAACAAAAAAATGGGCAAGAAAGTTGAATTGACATCTCACAAAAAAGAAATAAAAATAGCAAACAGAAATATAAAAAATACTCAATATCATTAATCATGAAAAATGCAAATTAAAACCACAATAAGATATTATCTCACACCTTTCAGAATTGGCAACTACCAAAAAGTTAAAAGATAACAAGTGTTGCAGGGTTGTGGAGAAAAGGGAACCCTTGTACGCTCTTGGTGGGAATGTAAATTATTACAGCTATTATGGAAAACTTTACAGAGATTCCTCAAAAAAAGAAAAAAAAAACCAAAAAATAGAATTACAAGTGATCAAGCAATCCCACTTCTGTGTATTTATCCAAAAGATTTGAATTTGTCAAAGGAATGTCGGCACCCCCATGTATGTTGCAGCACTATTAACAATAGTCAAGTCATGGAATCAACCCAAGTGTACAACAACACACAAATGAATAAAGAAATGTGGTATATATACCCAATGACAAAATATGCATGCTTAAAAGGAAATAAATTTTGTCATTTTTGACTACATGAAATTGGAGAACATTATGCTAAGTAAAATAAGCCAGGCATAGATATACAATTACTACATGTTCTCTCTAACATATGGAATCTATAGAAATAAAACTCATAGAGGCAGAGAACAGAGTGCTTTTACAGGAAAAAAAAATTGGAGCGTGGAGGGAATTGGAGTTGATGGTCAAAGGGTAGAAAATCTCAGATGAACAGAAGGAATATGTGGGTTTTAAAAAATATCTATTGCACCTCATGATAAATATGGTTAATTATAGAGTATTACATATTTGGAAATTCATAAGAGAGTATATTTCTTTTCTTTCTTTTTTTTTTTTTTTTGTGATGTAGTCTCACTCTGTTGCCAAGCTGGAGTGCAGTTCCATGATCTCGGCTCACTGCAACCTCCACCTCCTAGGTTCAAGTGATTCTCTTGCCTCAGCCTCCCAAGTAGCTGGGACTACACGCACGCGCCACTACGCCCAGCTAATTTTTGTATTTTTAATAGAGACGAGGTTTCACCATGTTGGCCAGGATGGTCTCAATCTGACCTCGTGATCTGCCCACCTCAGCCTCCCAAAGTGCTGGGATCACAGGCATGAGCCACTGTGCCCAGCTATTTCAATTTTTTAACATAACAAATGCGTTTTAGTTAACAGATATTTGTCTTAATCTATTTCATGTTGTTATAAAGAAATACCTAAAGATGAATAATTTATAAAGAAAAGAGGTTTATTAGGTTCATGTTCTGTATGCTGCACAAGATACATGGTGTTACCATCTGCTCAGCTTATGGTGATGCCTTAGGCTGCTTCCACTCAAAGTCGAAGGCAAAGGGGAGTAGACATGTGCAAAGGTCACATGGTAAGAGAAGAATCAAAAGATGGAAAAACAAAACAAAACAAAACAAAAAAAACCAGCTGTCCTGGGAACTAATAGAGTGAGAACTCACTCACTCTCTAATGGAAGACATTAATCTATTCATGACAGATCTGCATTCTTGACCAAAACACCTTCCATTAGTCCTCACCTAAAACACTGGGGATCAAATTTCAACATGAGGTTTGAAAGAGATATCCAAACCAGAGTAATATGTTAACTAGCTTGACTTACGTATCCCATTGAACTTATGAAGCATAACATCACATTGTACCCCATAAATATATATAATTATAAATTATCAATTTACAGTAAAACATCTGGAAATTTAAAAATGATTACATGGAAAGGCCCACAAAAAGGAACACAACATTAAAGAAAAAAAGTAAGACTCACACTACCTGACTTCTATAATAATCATAATAATCTATAAATCTATAATAATCTATAATAAATCTGTAATAATCTATAAATCTATAATAATCAACACACTCTGGTATTAGGCAGAAGAGACACATAGGTAAAAGAAAGAAATATAGAACCCCAAATATACTCATGTAAATATATTCAACAGATTTTTTACAAAGAAGTAATATGAATTCAATGGAAAAAAGATAGTCATTTCACAAATGGTGCTAGAGAACTTGGACATACATATGCAAAAGAAAATAAACCTAGATAAAGATCTGACATGTTTTACCAAATGAATTCAAAATGCATCATAAACTAAAATATAAAAATGCAAAACTAAAAATCTTCTCAAAAAGTAAGGTAAAATCATCATGATTTTTGGTTTGATTATGAGTTTGTAAATATACCAACAAAAGCATGATCCATGAAATAAGAAATAAGTTGCACTTTATCACAATTAAAAACTTCTGCACTACAAAAATACCATGCTAAAAGAATAAAAAGACAAGCCACTGACAGTGAGGACATAACTGCAAAACCTATATCTGACAAAGGACATCTACCCAAAATATACAAAGAATGATCAAAATAGCACTGAAAGGGGAGAATGAGAGCTGAGTGAGTGACAAAGACTAACATAAGTCTCTTTAGTTTCTCTTAGTTTGTCATTTTTTTGCTTCCTTGACTTACTGATTATATGAGTGCCACAGCTAATTTTCAGAAATACGCTATCCAGTTGTTGTCTGCTACGGTAGGTACTAGTCAGAGACAACTATTTTAATTTAAATTAATTGAAATAAAATAAAAATTTAGTCTCTTCACTGCACATTTCAAGTACTCAATATTCACATGGGGCTAGGGGCTACTGTATTGGACAATATAAGTCTTAGGACATTTCTATCAACGCAAAATATTCTAAGGGATAGCACTGTCTTGATTCTCTAATGTTGTCCAAACAAACTTGTATTTTTGTCAAAGTTTATTATAAATACAGTCATGCATCACTTAACAATGAGTATGCATTCTGACAAATGTGTCATTAGGCAATTTTATCATTCTAGGAACATCATAGAGTGTACTTACATAAATCTAGGTGGGATAGACTACTACACATCATGGCTATATGGTATAACCTGTCGCAACTAGACTACCAGCCTGTACTTTACTACAAGCATGTTACTTTACTGAATACTGTAGGATATTGTAAGAAATGGCATTTATGTATATAAACATATCTAATCATAATAAAAGTTTCAGAAAAACTATGGTATTATAATCTAATGGGACCAGTGTCATATAATCAGCCCATTCTTGACTGAAATGTCCTTATGTGGTACATGACTATTTTCAAAAGTAGTTTTTATTCAAAATCACTAGCTACAGAGATCAGATACAAGTTCTCCTCCATCAGATACGAGATCATAGGTGAACAATCACGGCCCTACTGGAAAGCTGAGGGCAGAGTGCCAAAACCAGTTGGAAAACCCACAAGAAGCATCTGTGGTGCAGAAAAGGAGGGTAGCAAGAATATGGCAGACTGATCCGCAAGGAACCTGGAGTCCCTCAAAAAGGGTAGGTGGAAGTAATTCTTTGGCCCCTTCACCCTGCAACAGCCTACTGAGTACCAAATTGTCAGAGAGCCCCTCTGCCCTCACAAGTCTGGGCAACACTGTGGCAGTTTGAGAACTTCTTGGGGGCAGAGCACCAGATGGCCTGCTTGCACACGTGTGGTTATACTCTGCACAAGCCTGAACTGAGGCAGCCTGAACTGAGGCAGTGTGTGCCATACTGGTTGTGTACCCATTCTGGGCCACTGCTTTGACCAGGGAATCTCAGCCTTTATGTTACTGCATCACTAAATCTCCCACAAACACACCCTAGAACACACTCTGACTTTGGCAAACACAGGGACTAGTAGGTCCCGGAGAGCTGTGGGATACCTGGAGATCTAGTGTATGGCATGTGCCATTCCTATGGAAAATGAGAGGGCAAGCTGCCAAAGCACCTCCTGAGACAAAGGAAACACAGATAAAGTCCAAGTCTTCAAAAGAGGGGAGCATTGTTTTGTCCCAGAGGATAGGCAGCACTGGCTGCCTGGAAAAGGAGGTGAAGGAGGGTCACCCCCTCTTCCCCTGTCCATGCTATGGATGTAGCCAAGGTTTTTCCCTCTGGAGGCTGGCATGACTGCACTTGAAAACAACCTTCCCAGTGGTATTCACAATAGCTGCACATTCATTAAAAGTGTGTCCGCTGCCTGTGCTCACACAGAGGGCAAGGCTCACCTCTCCCTCTCTACACACAGCAGAAGTGTCCTTGCATCGGAGGGCAGACCAGCTGCAAATCTATCTGTTTTGGACTGACTGAAGAGGTTCTTCCCCTGGCCATTTTACTGCTGCCAGATAGGTTCCCCGCCACACCCCTCCCCACCATCCCCCCACCCCCATGGAACTCAGTTGCATCATGCCCTGAAGATAAAGGACAGTGTCTCTGTGAATGGAAGATGGCAAGCCCTTATACAGGAGCATGATAGAGAAGTGGATCATGTGTCCGTCTGCACCCAAGCTGGTGTAGTCTCCTCCCGCACCTGGGCCTCAGCACATCTCACCATGAACTTCCCACACTACTCTACTCCAATCAGGGGTCAGGGAGGGTGCTTTCACTCATCATTGGTTTACCCAATCTTTATTGCCTACAACTGAACTGGAGACCAAATGGGAACACAAAATAAAAAATCTGATGACAGAAGGGAATCATGCTAGAGTATGAAAGAAGCTTTGTGAGACATCCACACTCTCATTCCCACAGCAGGTGAGTGGGTTCATACGCCAAATACATTGCCACAACAACCAGAATTTGAGAAAGCCACTGTACAAGATAATAACCAAGGAACTCAAACAGAACACTGGCTCTCTGAAAGCTCCTAGAAACAATGCCAAACGCTCATATATAACATACCCTACAGTGATATCCACAGGGGAGAAAAGAATAATAAATTTAAAAGTCCTATCAAATCAATACCAATTTCAAAAACAGGTGACTGCTTTTTCAGATGAAATAGAGTCAGCCCAAGAACTCCAGCAGTACAAAAAGACAAAGTGTTTCAATATCTCCAATGATGATGCAAGCTGTATATCAATGGATCCCAACCAAAATATAAATTCTGAAATGATAAAGAATTGACAACATGGACTATAAGAAAGCACAAGACATCCAAGAGAAAGTGGAAAACCAACACAAAATAATAAATGAATCAATTCATAATATAAAGGATGAGACAGATATGTTTTTTAAAAAACAATTTCTGTAAATGGAAAATTCACTATAGGAATTTCAAAATACAGTTCAAAGCTTTCACAATAGATTAGAAAAGGCAGAAGAAATAATTTAAGAACTTGAAGACCAGTCTTTTGAAATGAGCCAGTCATACAAAAATAGAGAAAAAATATTTTTAATGAACAAAGCCTTGGAGGATTATGTAGTGTGATCAAACCTATGACTTACAGGCATTCCTGAGGGATAATAAGAAAAAGAAATTTGAAAAATATATTTGAAGGAATAATGAAAAAAAAATACTTGATCTTGCTAGAGATATAGACATCATATACAAGAAAGACAGAGAACACCTGGAAAATACTATACAAAAGAAACATCAACAAGGCAATAATCAGAAATGGAAAACCAAAGCAAACAGCAGTACCTATTATTATATTAGATAAAACAGACTTTAAGCAAACAACAGTATAAAAATACTAAACTGGCATTATAAAACAATAAAGCATTCAATGCAACAAGCTTTAACTATCCTAGATACATACGCACTCTATACCCAAGCACTCAGATTCATAAAACAAATATTACGAAACTTAAGAAAAGAGACAGCAAGACAATATTAGGGGGAGATTTCAACACTTCACTAATCTCACTGGATTTTTTTTTGTTAAATCAATATTTAGTCTTTTTTAATTTTAATAGTTCTTTGGGGAACACGTCATGTTTGGTTACGATGTTTGGATAAGTTCTTTAGTGGTGATTTCTGAGATTTTGGTGCACCCATCACCAGACAGTGTACACTGCACCCAGTGGGTAGCATTTTATCCCTCACCCCACTCCCACGATTTTACCCAAGTCTCCAGAGTCCATTATACTATTCTCATGCCTTTGTGTCCTCATGTTTAGTGCACTGGTTTTCTTAAATGCTAATTATGCTAGCACTAAAGTTGTCACGTAGTCAGACTCAGGACCTCTGGTTAGCCAGGGTGTTACTGGCAGTGGAATTAGCTATTGTTTTCTCCTTCTTTGGAGCAGGGTTGTTCTCTTCTGAGTTGCTATAATGGATTGAGTTGGTTGACCTCCAGCCAGGCGGTGGTGCTTTCAAGAGAGCACTAGCTGTGGTTGTAGAAGGGGGATATCCAGATAGATTATCATAGAGAGATAGAAAATCAACAAAGAAATTCTGGATTTAAACTGCACTTTAGACCAAATGGAACTAATTAATGGACATTTATAAAGCATTCTACCCCAAAACTGCAGAATAAACATTTTTGTCATCTGTGTAACAGTTTTCAAAATTGACCATATACCTGGCAATAAAGCAAGTCTTGGTAAATTTTAAAAAATCAAAATCATATCAAGTACCTTATTGAAGCAGGGTGAACTAAAATGAGAAATCAACACCAAGAGGAACTCTTAAAATTCAAAAAAGTACACAGAACCTAAACAACTTGCTCCTGAATTACTTTTGGGTGAACAAGGAAATTAAAGTGGATATCAAAACATCTTTTGAAATGAGTAAAAATAGAGAAACAACATATCAAAACCTCTGGGATACAGCAAAAGCAATACTAAGAATTTACAGCATTAAATGTCTACACCAAAAAGAAAGATATCAAATTAATAATTTAATGTCACACCTCAAGAAAACAGAAAACAAGAACAAACCAAAACCAAGCTAAGAAAAGACAAGGAGTAACAAAGATCAGATCAAAATTAAATAAGATTGAGAATAAAGAAATGATACTAAGATTAATGAAATTGAAAGTTAATTTTTGAAAGGATAAGCAAAATCAATAGACTACAAGCTAGATTAACTACAGATAAAAGAGACAAAATTCAAATAAGCGCAATCAAAAATGACAAAAATAACAGTGCAGTTGATACCACGGAAATACAAAACATCATGAAAGACTACTATGAACATTTCCATGTGCACAAACTAGAAAACTTAAAGAAATGGATACATTCTTATAAACATACCGCCTTCCTAGATAGAATAAAGAAGGAATAGAAACCTTAAAAAGAGCAAGAATGAGCATTAAAATTGAACTTGTAATAAAATTATTACAACCAAAAAGAACGGGTACCAATCTTACTGAAACTATTCCAAAAAAATTGAGGAGGAAACATTCCTTCCTAACTCAGTCTGCAAATCCAGTATCACCATGATGCCAAAATCAGGGAAGGATACAACAACAACAACAACAACAACAAAAATATCCCTGATAAACACAGATGCAAAAATCCTCACCAAAATACTAGCAAACAGAATCTAACAACACATGGAAAAGATAATTCATCCTGATCAATTTGCTTCTACTGCACGATGCAAGGGTGGTTCAGCATACACAAATCAATGAACGTGATTCACAACATAAATAAGATTAGAAACAAAAACCATACAACCACCTCAATAGATATAAAAAAAATCACTTGATAAACTCCAACATCCTCTCATAAATAAAAACTCTCAACAAACTAGGCATGGAAAGAAAATACCTCAAAATATTAGCAGCCATGTATCACAAACCCACAGCCAGTATCAGACCGAATGGGGAAAGGTTGAAAACTTTCCCCCTACGAACTGGAAAGAGACAAAAAGGCCCACTTTCACCTCTCCTATTCAACACAGTACTGGAATTCCTAACCAGAGCAATCAGGTAAGAGAAAGAAATAAAAGGCATTCATATTGGAAAACGGCAAGTGAAATTATCTCTCTTCACTTACAACATGAACTTATACCTAGAAACCCAAAAGACTCCTCCAAAGGACTCCTGACTAGATAAACGACTACAGTAAAGTTTCAGGGTACAAAATCAACATACAAAAATCAGCAGCATTTCTGTACACTAATAACATTCAAGCTACCAACCAAATTCAAAACTCAATCTCATTTACAATAGCTGACAATAAAATAAAATACCTAGGAATATATTTAACCAAGGAAGTGAATAATCTCTACAAGGAGAACTACGAAGTACTGCTGAAAGAAATCATAGATGATATAAACAAATGGATAAACATCCCATCCTCAAAGATTTCAAGAATCAATATTAAAATGACCACACTGCCCAAAGAAATCTACAGATTCAATTAAATTCATATCCAATTACCAATGCCATTTTTCACAGAAGTTGGGAAAACAATCCTAAAATTCATATGGAACCAAAAATGTGCCCAAATGGCCAAAGAAATTTTAAGAAAAAAGAAAAAAGCTAGAGGCATATAATTCCTTGAGTTAAAATTATATTTCAAGGCTATAGTTACCAAAACTGCATGGTATTGGTACAAAAAGAGACAGAGATCAATGAAATGGAATAAAGAACCCAGAAATAAAGCCACATAACTATAGCTAACTGCTCTTCAACAAAGTCAACAAAAATAAACAATGGGGCAAAAACTCCCTTCTCAATTAATGGTGCTGGAATTTTTTTGAAGGTCTCACTCTGTTGCCCAGGCTGGAGTGCAGTGGAAAACACAGCTCACTGCAGCCTCAACCTACCAGGCTCAAGTGATTCTCTAGTCTCAGCTCCCCTTGCAGCTGGGACCACAGGCATGAATCATCATGCTTGCCTAATTTCTTAAAATTTTTTGTAGAGAGAGGGTTTCACTGTGTTTCCTGAGCTGGTCTTGAACTTTTGGGCTCAAGCAATCCTCTTGCTTTGGCTTCCCAAAGTGCTGGTATTACAGGTATGAGCCTCCGTGCCTGACCGGTGCTGGGAAAATTGGCTAGCCATATGCAGAAGAACAAAAGTTGACCCCTGTTACTCACCATACACAAAAATTAACCAAGATGGATTAAGGGCTTAATGGTAAGACCTGAAACTAAAAATCTTAGAAGAAAGCCTAGGAAAAACTCTTCTGGGTGTTGGACTAGGTAAATAATTTACGATGAAGACCTTGATAGCACAAGCAACAAAAGCAGAAATAGACAGATGGGACTTAAGTAAACTAAAATGCTTCTGCACAGCAAAAGAAATAATCAGCAGAGTAAACTGACAATCTACAGAATAGGAGAAAATATTTGCAAATTATGCCTCTGACTAAAGAGTAATATCCAGAATTTCCAAGCAACTAAAATAACTCAACAAGAAAAAACAAATAATCCCGTTAACAAGTAGGCAAAGAACATAAACCAACATTTCTCAAAGTAAGACATGCAAGCAGCCAATAAAAATGAGAAAATGCTCAACATCACTAATTGTTAGACAAATGCAAATTAAAACCACAATAAAATACATATTACACCAGTCAGAACAGCTATTATTAAAAAGTCAAAAAGCAACAGATGTTGGTATGAATGCAGAGAAAATGGGATACTTTTCATTGTAGGTGGGAATGTAAATTGGCATAACCTCTATGGGAAACGGCATGGAGATTTCTCAAAGAACTAAAAAGAGAACTTCCATTTGACTCAGCAACTCCACTACTGTGTATCTACCCAAAGGAAAAAAAAAATCATTATATACATAAAGACACCTGCACTAATTTGTTTATCACAGCGCTACTCACAACACCAAAGTCATGGAATCAACCTGTCCTTCAAGGGATTACTGGATGAAGAAAATGTGGTATATATACCCCATGGAACACTACACAGAAATAAAAAAGAAAATCATGTCCTTTGCAGCAACATGGATGGAAATGAAAGTCATTATCCTAAGTGGAATATCTCAAACGCAAAATCAAATACCACATGATCTCACCTATAAGTGAAGCTAAACAATGGGTACACATAAACATAAAGACAGAAATAATAGGTACTGAAAAGTACCTATAAGGGTTGAAAAATTACCTATTGGGTACAATGCTCACTATTGTAGATGGGTACACTAGAAGCTCAAATCTCACCATTACATAATATATCCATGTAATAAACATGCACATGTACCCCCAAATATAAAATAATACTAAAAATAAGTAAACAAAACCATTTTCATTGAAAAATAAGAGGGCTTAAACAAGTTCTAGAAGTTGAATAAAGTCAACTTAAAAGGTAAGAAAAGAGTACGAAGAAAAAAAAATAATCCATTCAAAAGGTTTTATAATAGAAGGAGGAGGGAGATAATCAGGGGATAAAACACACCTTAGTTTACATGTCGTATCTTGAGATGTTAACCTCATAACCATGTGCCAAATCTGAATTATCACTCAGCTGGTAACATCATCATATGGTAATGGCAGGTCAGTGCCGTTCAAAATATTTAATAATGTTTGACCACATTCCAGATACATTAAGATTCAAATTTAAAACTGCTGACAAAAAAAAAAAAAAAAGAAAGACAAGCAGAGAAACACACTGAGCCCTAGAGCACCACTGCCTCCTAGGAAGGGAACTCAAGGGAGACTCCAGAGTTTGGTCACGTCTCCAGTCTGCCACTGACTAGCTGTGACTCCCTCTGAGCACCAGATTTCTCAGCTTTAAAAATGCAGGATTAAATTAGTTGTTATCCTTAGGTTACCTTCCTATTTTTAAATTACACATGGTAAAGAAACTGCTAATGAAGAAACTGAGGGAAATGAAAAAATTTACTGGGGTTATTGCTCTTTCTTATGCTGTAAAATGAAAATATTTGTTTTGTCTTTCACATTCTAGTAATGGACGTTTCTTAAGGAGAAGTGAAAAGTTATTTTTCAGAAAACATTTTGTTAAATTCCTAATATGTATTTTTTTTTCTGAGCCAAGGTCTAGTTTCAAAGGAGCTTTCAGAGTCTAATGGTTATTGGATCATGTATATTTAATAAAAATTATGAGTACTGCATTATCGGATGAAGTGTCATAATTAAATCATTACCAAAGTTTTAAGTTGCAAAATATTTCTGGAGATATGTTTTAATAATTTTGTTTGTTTTAATAAACAGTGTATATTATCTTTATGTTAGGTTTATCAAGATAAGTACAGAAACAGGCTTCATCTTAATTATAATTTATTTTAACATATTTCTTTTAAGCAGGATCTGTTGCTGAACAGAAAATTAACTTTTCTTCCCACCTATTGGTGTAGCACATCATTAACCTGTAATAGCATTTCTGATATTTAGCATAATTCAAGAGGTTTTGGGTTATTGTGGGTTTTATTTATGTGTTCATCTTACCCACTAGATTATGAATTAAGCGAGGACAGAGATGTTCCTGGTCTTTGTTTCTCCATTAAAACCTAGGCTAATGCTTTGAACATAGTAAGCACTCGATAACACTTCATTGAAACAATAGTTTAGCATTAATTTAAAGGAAAAATTGTATGTATTTATGGCAAATCCTCTATAAAAATAAAGACTTCTTAAAATTGGCAGTAAATTCAGAATGTGATGTTATGTCTTTTAAGGCTTTAAAATATTTATTTATTTACTTACTTACTTACTTATTTTCTTATTCACTTACTAGTTTATTTTGATGATGTGGAATTTTTTCTCCCAAAGGACAAAAATACCCTGTGTCATATTGGCTAAATCTGCCTGATTCTCTGATTCAATTAACAGGGCAATTTTGCCCTCTTAATAAGCTGTATCTTCCAACTTCATCTTTATCATTAATAAAAGTCACATTTTATTAAGACCTTTTCAGATATTTTAATTTTTTAGAACCTGTATAGGGAAGAAGCATGCTATTTATTGGTGCTCTTCATAGTCATTACTACCAAGGATTTGATAACTATGCTACTAATGTTGAATTTGTCCTGGAGCCAACAAGAAGTTATTAATAGTATCTGGACTATATGGTGAAAGGATGGCATTTTATAACTAATCAATAATAGCAAGGGAAATGGTTGTTTCTGATAGAAATCAAAAAGCAAGAATATCAGTTGAGAAGATTCTGTAAGAGATGATAAATTTATCTGTGTATGCAAGTCTCTGAGTCTTTGTATATACAAGAAATGAGAAGGCTTTGAGAATCATTTTAGTGTTGAGAAATATTTTTGTCATTTTTAACTGAGCATGAGATTACTGTAAGCCATCTCAATGTCACAGTGGTTGGAAAGGTGGAATGCCTCTTAAGAACCTCTTCTGGTTTGTAGGAAGACTATTTGTCTCCCTTCTCCACACTACCAATTATGCCAGCTGGGTATGTCCCAGAGCCAGAAGCCAGAAGAGGAGTGGATATGTACCTAATACCAAATACCAGTAATGGAGTTGGTGATGGGGATGAAGAAACACTTACCAGGACTTGAGATTTTACTTTATTTGAATATGTTAGGTACGTTCCACTGGAAGACTTCAAATTCAATTTCAATTTGTTTGTGTAAAAATATGTATCATACTAAAAGTGATATATTAAGAATAAATATAAATATTCATCCTTATTATACATACATATATGTTGGCATTATATAGAATATAATACCTGTTCTCAGAGTCGAAAGAAACTTCATATCGCTACTTTGTCTAGCACTTTGCTAATAAGACCACAAGACCATGTTTTATAGATGTGGTATCCAGAGATTACTTTAATCTATGTATTTTGTGGTTTATAGGAGCTGATGAGCACACTTTGAAAATCACAATATTGAACTTTCAGGAGTTCATTATCAATACTGACATCTTTAACATAGGACAAAATCAAAACCAGTGTATTCAAGATTTAAATATTAAAGCCAGTATATTTTAAAATGTGTGAATTATTTAATGCCCTAAAATTCATTCAGATAAAACTATGCAATTACTTATTAAGCTTAGTAATTAGCATATTTGGAAGTAAAGACTGAATAAATATAGAAGTACATTCTATTCACATATTAAGAAAAAAACTGTTGTTTTCTGTTTCTCTTCTGTAGGGAAACCATAGGCATTAAGCATAATTAAAAAAATAGTTAAGGATAAGAATGAATTGGGGGTGATGTGTGAACGTTAGCTTGTTATTGGCAATTTTAAAATAGGGGTTCTTGACCTTTCTTTGTTCCATAGATCCCTTGGGCATTCCAGTGAAAATGTGTAGGGTTGCAAAAAACACCCAATTACATTGAACTACAGTTATCACAAACATTTTTAAAACACAAATTTGTGATACAGTAACATATATTATTCTATGTAAATATCTCCTATAGCATCATCTAGTAGCAGATCTAATAATTCCAGTTATTTTAAAGTAGGGATGAGACCGAATGATACTCAAAGATATTAAATCATCTGGACAATGAACTAACACCTGAAGGAATTATGCAGAAGCTATGTGTCAGGACACCAATTAACCGGCTGTATATGAACAATACATGCCAGATTTATTAAGCCATGGATATTTGCAGTAGGAATTCTTCCTTTGAAAACATTTCTAACATTAGTCAATTATGTATCAAGCAGAGCTGATAAAGACAGAATATCTTCCATATGTAAGTATTTTCTCTATTGAAAATAAAAGAGTTCAGTTTTTTAAACTGGACCTGGATTCAATACAAAAATATAGGTATTGGGAACTTAATCAATAGAAGGCATTATGTGGTGACAAAAATAATAATATACATATTATTTATGTTCAAAAATTAATTTATTCATGTTTTCTCCTTAATCCAACACATGAATTAGGACTTTATGAAGTAAGTTGCATAAGATTAAGAAATCTGAAAATGGAAATATTCAAGATGAAGGTAAGCAAGATAACTAACTGGGAGATGAGTAGTTGACATTTAAACAAAGAGAATGTGTTAAATGAATAATATTTGCCTTTAAAAATAAAGGTAGTCTGCCAATTAAATATTATGTATGACTACTCAGTGCTAAATTAAATATAAAAATTTGTTTGGAAGGAGACAAAAATAGAAAAAGAGGAGGATTGATTAATTAGAATATTGAATATACATTAATTAAATGGTAAATCTTAATTTTTTATTTGGACAAATACTATTTTCTCACAAAAATAAGCATTTAGAATTCATCTGAGTTGTCCAATTTAAGGCAGGAATTACTTCTGGCAAATAATTCTTATTTATTTTATATCCCATTGTGTTATAAAATGAGTGCCTTAGTAACCATAAGAGTTTGGAGTAATAAAGGATAGACGAGAATATATGTTGAATCTGTATAGCATTGCACCAAAGCTTACAGCTGAGCAAGCAACCTGAGAGGTGAACAGGACATGGCCCAGATATTTCCTTTCACGATCTGCACCTATTGCTTTACTCATTGGAAAGGAACTATACTTTGCTACCCTGGAAACTGCCTAGTGGCCTAGTTTCATAGGACCTTGTCCAGTTGGCTTTAATGAGCTGCCCAACTACACTGAGTATTAAACATAAGAAATCGGCCTGGGAAAAACAGTAATAACAACTTATCTGCATAAACCATGTTTTAAAGGTACTTTATAAACTCTGAGATAACTATGCAGTATCTTGTGAAAATTAAATGCCAAACTCTAAACAGTGACAGTCTCCACAGATAGGAAATATGCACCAAAACCATCATACCAAAAGATCTTACCTGTATGACAAGTCAATAGGCAGCTGACTTACTGCCTATTACATGACAGCTTTTATCGAGTTTAACAAGCAGATTGATGGGGGATGGGAAGGAGGGAGAATATACTTAGAGCAAGATTATTACCTGGCTTTGAGTTATGCTCTTTAATACACTAGTTGTACACTGGATTATATGAACATTAGACAAGAGTGTTCACTGCATTACTATCAATTTTCTCATTTGCAAAATGAGAAAAATATCCTGTGAAGCATCTGGAATTCCCATAAGAGTCCGATGAAAAAAAAAAAAAAGAAATAATGTGTGGCAAAATGCTTTAAACGTTTTAGGTCATTTAATTAATCATTTAACTTATTTATTTTTTATTCATCTATTTCATCTTTAATGTGGCAGCTGTTGCAGGAAGTTTCCTCTAAACTGTCAGTTTGAACTGTTTTCCTTCTTTGTGGTGCCACAGTATGCTGGACACTCACCACACACCACAACTATGCTCGATTCATTTTTGTGAAGGTAGAGTGTAGTGCAGGTACATTAGAGATGCTACATAAATATTGTTGAACTGTACTTAGCTAAAATTTAAAATTGAAAAAATGCTTATGGGCATTAATTACTCTTTACTCCAAACATTAATCATATGTTTGAATTTCTTTTAACACTCAGCAATCATTGGCATTCTAGTTATAGATATTACAAAAAGTAATCATAGAAGAAGAAAGTAAAAGAGAATCCCCTATAATCAAATAATTTATAAAAAGATACAGTTTAAAATGAATATTCACCATTTACTACCTATTTCACATCTCATTTTCTTTACTCATATAATTTTATTTCTCCTACAATTGAGATTCTATTGAGACATAAGTAGGGCTACATTATTTTCATTTAATGGTACATGAAATCTTTTGAGTATTTCACTTCAAGTACTTAAATTTATATTTTAAATTTTTTCTATTTAGTGCTTTCAAAGTAGACGTGTTGTGCGTTTTACATTTATTTTTTGAACAAGCACTGGGATGAAATCCAGCTTCTTCCTTGGGCATGGCACAGAATCTAGAGTCATTTTTCTCTGCATGAAATCCTTTAAAGCAAAGAATTACCCTCAGCTGCCTGCACCCCACAATATTCCCTGTAGTCGTACTTCATGCCTCTTACTTCACAAGAACACTCAATATATGTTTCCTATTGCAAATAACGTGCTCCTTCACCTGATCTCACATCAGTTACCACTGTTCATGATGATGATGGAGTAAATGATGTTTCTCTGTAAATGTAAATTTCTCTTAGGCTTGATACTGTTAACTAGCCCCTAAGTACATTCCTGGTTACCCTTCAAGCCACTTCTTATTCTAGCAAGAATAATTTCACATTTTTAAGTATTTGGCTATGCCAGTGCAGTGCCAACAGTGACAGTTTCCAGTTAATTAAGTTAATTGGGGAAGATATTTTCAGCATTAAAGGAGCTATAGCCTACATGGAGTACACATTTCAAATTGGGTAGATGCTTTTAAATTCCAAAAGATCCATATTATAACAGGCATTTTGCACATCTCATTTAGTCTAGCAAAATACCTTCAAAAATGACAGAGCCATTTAATGCATACAAAATGTCAAATATTTGCCTCAGATTTTCTTCTTAATGATTTTAAATAGTTCTTATTTTAAAACAACATTAGCTCTAAAGACAGCAACGTACAGCAATTCCTACCAATATACATGAGATCTATCAAACGACTGCAGTTAACTTGGCTGGGATTTCATAATTTTTCACAAGAGGACTCATAGGCCTGAGCAGCTGGAACTTGCACTATCAAAAGCACCAACTTGAAATCATCTGAACAAGCGTACACAACTAAATTATAGCTTTTTTTTTTTTTTTTTTTTTTTTTTCCAGACATGAAGCATGAAATGCCTCTGCTGGCAGCAAGATTCTCTGTACTTAGCTTGTAGTAACACGGTTGCCAGATGGGGCTTTTGCCTATCTAAATTTTTATAATAAACTCTCAGGGTACAATAAAATATCCGATTAGTTTAAAGCAGTTCTGTAATTTAAATGATCTATTTAGTTTTTGACTATAGAGTCTACCTTAACTAGTCATTTGTTTCATTTCATCAAAGTCATTAGTTAATATCTCTTATCTCAATGAATAGTTAAAATTACCTCAATATAGTGGAAAAAAATAAAAGGCCTTTCAGTTTAACCATTACTTTTATCTTCTAACAGAAATGACTGATTCTGAATAAGCAGTTTACTAACATTTTTATAAATGAATTAAATAAGTGATTTAATACAATAATCCCATATTACAGAAGACACTGAAAATGACATAAACAATTTGATAAATACCTTCATTTCTAGTGTTTAGAACTAACAAAGGCATACATTTAAGAATGAAATATATTCAGAAAGTATGATGTATGTTATAAAAATAATAAAAGGTAATAACTCATCCTTTTAATTTAGTATATTTTGTAATGTTTAATACAAATTATTTATATTGGTAAGGTTATTTTCTTTAGCTTGTAAAAATTATTTTGAGTCTTGAGTTTTTAGCCATCATAATCAATATCCTTTCAAAATGGACCATGTTTTACACACATAATAAAAATGCTCTTTGTCTTCATTCAAGTCAGTAGTAAGAACAGAACGTTAAAAATTAAATATAAATAAAATTTCCTTATATGGCTATACAAGTACATAAATTTATACACATTAAAAATAAAATTTTACAACATAACATAATCCAGCTTATACTGCATTGTCTGCACTCCCAAATGGAGATCTTCTCAACAAGAATATTGTAAGAGCCTTCATCAAATATCTGAGCACTAGACTTCAAATATAGCCCTAGTAGTAAAATACACAAAGAGTCAGTTACTGCATATTATCACAATATTATAACCTGTTTATGCAGTTTAAGATAATTTAGGCCATTTTTATAGCTACTGCAAACAATTGGGCCTTCCTGAGGTTTTTTTTTCATCTTTGTAAATAATATTGATAATAATTTGTCTGGCTTATCAAATTAAGAACCCTAAATCCTCATGCAAAAGAGTCCAATGTGAAAATTCTGTGATTGCTTTCTATAACCAAAAATATTACCCAATACTGTAGATTCGGTTTTTTAAATGTTGTATTTTAGATTTTTAATATCTTAAATCACACAAATATATAAATATTTGTGACATACATGTTTGTGTGGCATGGGAAAAACTTAGAGGCAGTGAATAGGATAAATATAAAATATCCTAATAGAGGAAAGTTATTTTCATAATGGTAACGGAAATTTGAGTTGAATATCTGAAGCGATTTCCTGACTCTGAACAATAAATGAATTATGGAACAGGTTCCTGAGACTGTGGTAGAAGCTCAGTCACAGAGGTTATTTTAAAACAGACTGAGAAAAGTGCTGAAGGTACATTCTGTAGGATAGAAAATCTAGGTTTTCCAAAGAATGGAATGGGTAAATCAAGTTTGACATTTCTTTTGTGCTGATATTTTGGGCTTACATTTATGAAATAAATTTTAAGTTGTTAAAAATAGCAATTTCTATTAGAACAATGTTTAAAATCTATATATTTTCTTACTATTATAAAATAAAAGCTGATTAATTCATATCTGCATTTCATAAAATAGAAATTGAGCTGACATTACAGGTTAAAATAAGGGAACCATAGAATGATGTAGACTTTCACCTATTTCCAGAAAATAACATATTAGTAAAGTTATTTCACCTTATTTCCAATAAACATAAATATCCCCATATTTTGATTTCTTCAAAGGAGTATTCCACACTAAAGTTATCACCCAGTGTTTATCTTGTTATGCATAGATATCTTTCACAATGATATTATGTACTCACATCATTTTGTATTTTACACAAATGATAATATTGTTTACATTTTTCCAGTTTAAACTTGTGCTTCTCGCAAGGCACACTCATGACAAAGTCATCTTTTTCCTCTTAGTATCTGGCCCAATTACTGACACATAAATATATGTATTCATTTAAACAAGATACAATAAATGATGTTAATAATGTAGGCAGCAAAGAGATGGTTTCTAGAATGATGGCAGAATCTAGAATCTGTGGACCTTCTCCACAGCAAAACAACCATAAGTGGTGAAGGTTATACCAAAAAAAAAAAAAAAGGGTAATATCTGGAAATTGTCCTAAGAGCAGACAGTAAAGGAAGAAACATTTATTTTAGAAATTCTGCTAAATCTTAGCAAGAGCAGCAAGAGTCTGTGGAATTTGAGCCACAAACACCCACAGCTCACCCACAGCTGAGCATGAGAGAAGCGCCACTCCAGATGGGTGCAGCCAAGAACAATAGGGCTCCCTATCCGTCCATTCCTAGTCAAGAGAGGTGGTATCTTCTCTTCAAGGGCAGAGCACCAGTGTTTCTCAGCCCCCATTCCCAAATCTCTGTTTCAGAATCTCTTCCAGGCAACAATGGCTGAGAGGTCTAGGCTTTATTCCTTTGTCTGACCCCCCACTTCTATGGTGAAAGCTCTACTCCAGGTATGGCAAGCCAAGAAAACGAATGGGCGGGCCCCGATCACCCTTGCCTCTACTCACTCAAAGGGCAAAAGTTTCATGCTATAAGAGGAAAGTTTCAAGCTATAAGAGGAAGACCAGATGTTATCACTCCACCGAGTACCCTGCCCGTAAAGCCAAAGTATCACTCTGAGAGAAGTAGACCACTGTCCAGGAGCCAACTACAGAGCAGGGAGACACAGGAATTTTGCCCATGGAGTAGGCAGTCCATAAGAACAGAGCTCCAAAGCTCTCCTGAAAGGAACTCACTTGTTTGGAATAAAGTGTGGGGAAGGTTAAACTTGAAGGCACTCTGAATAATAATAGAGATTTTGGAAGTGAGATTAAGAGAGGATAGTAGCTCCATGAGAGTATCAAGCTAAACTGTGGGTCAGCTATTCATTCACCATAGATAATCAGGTAAAGAGAAAATCAAGAAGAGCCCTCCTGTGTTCACAAAAAATCTCAGAGATGATTGGTCCCTAAAACTATCTGCAAAGGAGCCTGAAATTAATTAGATCAGACTCTGGATAAATTTATGCCCCAGGATAATTTTAAACACAATAATGCAATCAGCTGGCAATTGGTATCAAGAACAAAAACATAGCCCTGATACTTTATGCAAAAATGTTTTTCAAAATGTTCCTGATGTTTCATTTTAAAATAAGCACTGACTGGACATGGTGGCTTACACCTGTAATCCCAGCACTTTGGGAGGCCAAGGTGGGTGAATCGCCTGACGTCAGGAGTTCGAGACCAGCATGGCCAATGTGGGGAAACCCCATCTCTACTAAAAATACAAAAAATAAACTGGGTGTGGTGGCAGGCACCTGTAATCCCAACTACTTGGGAGGCTGAGGTGGGAGAATCCCTTGAACCTGGGAGGCGGAGGTTGCAGTGAGCCAAGATCGTGCCATTGCACTCCAGCCTAGGCAACAAGAGCAAAACTCCGCCTCTAAATATATAAATAAAGAAATAAGCACTGTTACCTCTACTTTTTAACTGTATATAGAAATGATTAGCTGGATATATAGCACTTTTCCAAAAAGCATGTACAAACATTTTTTAAAATACACACTATAGAGAGTTTAAGTAGGATTAATGAACAAAAGGAAATAGCGTCTGAATCTAGTTAAAGTACAGGATAGTTTTTTTCTTCATATCTATTAATGCTAAAGATAAAACAAGAGAAAAGAATATTGGAATGTAACAGAAGAAATGAAGGCCTTAGTACTGCAAAATCAATTAGAGATGCAAGGCTACTGAAAAGAATTACAGTGTATGAGACACAGCCTGTAGCCACTTCTTTATTAACACATTTTCAGTTATGGTAAAACTTTTCACACTGTATTGTAGCGGTCTGTTTAGAAATAGTTAATTAGTATCTACTTCATTCACAAAGGATATCATGCAATTTGCAGAAACACATAACAAATTCCATTATTTAAAAAAAGCATTATTGGAAAGTGAGAGACAGTAACATAAAGCCAGGAGTTTCTACAAAAGTGCTACAAAAATACATTTGTTTTCTGGCTTTCATAATTGTGTTAAACCTTATAACTTTTCTTGACAAAGAGAGAAATATGAATAGTTGTGAGCTTCCCACTTATATTCCAAGAAAATAGTATTGTTGCTCTGAAATTATACTGTTCTGGCACTGAGGTCTAAGAGAAACATCTCCCGTGTGTCAGGAAGATGAACCACATATATAATGACATCATTGCTTGAATGTATTGAATTCAAAAGTTATTGATTTTATACTATTTTTCTCAATTATTTTAGGGGACACATGAGCAGATATAGTTGAAGACTACTGATCAAGCAAACATAATTGTGCTTTATAAGAATAAAGCCTTTCAATTATTTACTGATAGGAAGTGGTGGTTGTAGAAAAACTGATAGCATAGACTTAGTCAAGTAAGTGTATAATGGACTATGATGTCAAATCATAGCTAATTAAAATAAAATGAATTTGGAGAAACTGCAAGATGGATTTATAATTGTCAAAGTTAAAAATGTTTCAGTATAATCAAGATATAATAAGTGCTATGAATTCTACAAACATGTCTTCGGTTAATGTGCAACATATTTTGAGACTCAATGTATCAGAGACTTAAAAAAAATATGTACCATACTGTTTACCTAAGGTCTTATTGATTTCATATCTGCTCAAGTAATCTACAGAAGAGTCTGAAAAATTGGCCTAAGAGTCTGATCTTTTTTTTTTCCTAAAAGAAAATGAAACACAAGTTTTCAGAAGAACAAAAATATGTTATACGTAACATTGTTAGAAATGCCTTTCTTCTTTTGAGAAAGTTAAGGTTTCTCGTTAATGTAAAATCTGCACATATGAACAATTCACACCTCCTTTCAGAAGATAGCAATTTGTCTTTTACCTTTTTCCTACCAAGATTCTGAATTCACGCTTGCAAACACTCGATACAATAGCTGAATCCTCTCATAAAAAAAAATGATGGCAACAGTGCATGTGGTGAACTAAATTTCAAGTATTTCATCACAAGTGATATTTGTTTGTTCTATCTAGACAGTTTTATATAACGGTATGTTTATAAATTCACTTCATCTTTAACTAACTTGTTACTTTATTAGGGCATCAATCTGGATCCTATCGCGTGCGCGTGTGTGTGTGTGTGCGCGTATGCTAACATATAACTTAAAAATATCAATTGATATGCTTTGCTTTAGTAAATATCATTTAGTTACCACGTTGTAATTTGTAATTGGTTTTCTAATAGCTGACCTATGATTTAAAGTATCACCAAAATGAAATCAAAGGTAAATCCTCTAATGGATAGAAATTTACCATTTATTGGATGAAAAATAAGTCAGTGTCCCATATAAAAATGCATACAATCAAAACTTTATGCAAATGGATATACAGAACCCTGAAGAAGTTTGTAAAATCAAAATTGCCCATACCTATATCTTAAGATTTATATAAATAATATATTTACATATATTCTATATATTTACATATAAATATACTCTATATATTTACATAATGTAAATATAATATAAATAGAATTGGTGATATATAAAGAAAATTGTGTGATGCCTATAATTGCTATATAATATGTATAACATATAATTATATATTTCGATATCATGGGCAGGTAAGTGTGGGGAAGGAGGACTACCATGACTCAGTAGGAACATAAATATAGATCAGTTGTGTAGAATTGGGTTCTCTGGCGTATTCATTATAGAAAATGTTATACATATTATATGTAAATGTATTATATGTATTCTATATAATATATACTTTATTATATGATATATAATCACATAATATATATTATATATAAATAGCACATAATTGCTCAAGAAAAAGGGTATTTTCAGTTTAACATTACAGCTCATTGAAATGTTGCCTACTGACAATGGGCAACAACCATAGTATAACAGCTTTCCAGTGTATACTACTAATGGCATTGTCAAATTAAACAGGCCAAATTACAACATACTTTATTTTTTTACGTTTATTTTTTATTTTAATTTTTTCTGTAGAGATGGAGCCCCACTCTGTTGTCCAAGAAGGTCCTGAAAAACTGGCCTTAAGCCATCTTCCCACCTTGGCCTCCCAAATTGCTGGGACAGAAGTGAGCTATTGTATCTGACCTATAACGTACTTCAAGAAAAGAAATTTTAAGAATGATTTATTTATTAAAAGAAAATCGGTCAGTGAGGAATGAACTCTATTTATGTCTAAAGCTTAAAATATATTACTATGTGTAGTCTGCATAGAAACTCTGTTGCATGAACAATGAGCAAACTGAGGCAGAGTTTAGATAACCTGCCTGAAATTCAATTAAATGATGGAAGCAGAAATCAAACCCAAGACTCTGGAGTTCCAAAGTTTTTAAGAACTTCCTTTTTCAGAGCACACTAACTCTTTTATACCATCCTGTCTTTCATAGTGTCAGTGAATTCTGAATGAAGCTTCTCTGTGTTTTCCCCAATTTGTGCATTTGGATGTAATTATCTCTACAATTAGCTTTTGTGAAGGTAAGCTGCACCTGAAAACCACAATGGTTTCCATGAACAAAGAAAAGTCATTTACACATTACTCTTACTGCTTCTATTAAAACTCATAGGTGTACTTTGTTTTAATCAGTAATTAGTTCCAATCCACAATTTTCAACTGCTACTATTTCAAATTTAAGCAGGAAAGTAAAGAATATATTTCTTCTTAAAAGATATGATTTGAATTGATACTTTTCTTCAATTAGAGTGTTTTTATCTTTTGAGAATTAATCCTGCCAAATATTTCGATTTCATGGGCAGGCAAGTGTGGGGAAGGAGGACTACCATGCCTCAGTAGGAACATAAATATAGATCAGTTGTGTAGAGTTGGGTTCTCTGTCATATTCATTACAGAAAAACTTCTATAATTAAGTTCTTGGGAACATGCACAAGACCAAAAACTAAGGATGACCTTGAAATTACTTGAAAGCAATTAAATTGCCTTACTGAGGAAGAAAAAAGTAAACAGTGAAAGAGAATATAGAAATTTCCTTCTTAACAAATTTAAGGCAAATGTTCAAACTTGTTAATCATGATAAGTTACTCAAAATATAAATAGATTCTTAAACAATTTCAAATACAATGTCACTAAGGATTGGCCTATGTTGAGCAATTAAAAAATAACTTTCAGAAAGAAGAAGGAAACCTTTATATAAAGTTATTCTTAGGCAGCACTGTTAGCATGAAATCTTACCTGGGCACTAACACGCTTCCCTATTATTTTAACTAAGACACAATATCTGTATTATAGTTGGCATGAAAGATAGATTTGTTTTAATATGAGTTTTTCAGCATTTGTAATAGAGGCAAGTGAAAGCATTAGTATTGTAGTAAGCAGTTTTACAGTATAAAATATGTTTCCAAGTAGACTTAAATAATTTAGGGATTACATTATACTCTACTTAAAATCAATTTCCTAAAATTTAGTAGGCTTACCTTAGAGTTGTAATATTGTTTCACAGCTCACAATTGAATTTTAAAGGGTCCTTTCATACTCGAGATATATCAACCTAATTTTTATAATTCAAGTCAAACTGGTATAGTAGAAACTATGTAAACAAAGAATCTTGTGAACCAGTTTGGTAATAAATTTCCCATCATTAATTTATAATTAGAAAACTATAGAGAGAATGGCCAGAAAAACAAATGTAAGAAACTTAATAAAAATTATTTTGTAAAGTTCTTTAACCTTTTACAATAAAAAGTGAAATTTATAGTTGAAATAACACATCTGGACCATTATTGTTTGGGACACTAAAAATACTAACTCTGTGGCAGCGTTTAAACTGCATCTCTTCTCCAGTAAAAATTGAGAAGTACATTTGTTTTAGTATTCCAGAGGTAGCCTATGTGGATACGGAGCCCAAGACATCAGCTCTTTTAGTCCTTAGGTTGCAGATATGATCATTCTCTCTTCCTATCAATGAAAACATCACGTTTGAATCATTCTTCATGACAGTTGTTACTCATTTTCTAGGATTCTCCAACACAGGCAAACTACTCTTATTACTAAAGTCTGTCATATCATCCCAATTCACAAACCATTACTTTCTTTAAAACTTCACTTTCTTCACTTCAGCAGGAACTAAAATACAACTGCTGCTACTGTCACATAAAAGGAAAGGTCAGGCAGGGACATGGTTGTCTGGTGAGAAGACACAAAGACATCACTTAATTATCCGTGGTGCAAGTCATAAAAAGGTGAGTTGCCACAAAGAAAATAAACTACCTAGGAATACACCTTACAAGGGATGTGAAGGACCTCTTCAAGGAGAACTGCAAACCACTGCTCAAGGAAATAATAGAGGACCCAAACAAATGAAAAAACATTCCATGCTCATGGATAGGAAGAATCAATAGCATGAAAATGGCCATGCTGCCCAAAGTAATTTATAGATTCAATGCCATCCGCATCAAGCCACCATTGTCTTTCTTCACACAATTAGGAAAAACTACTTTAAATTTCACATGGCACCAAAAAAGAGCCCATACAGCCAAGACAATCCTAAGCAAAAAGAACAAAGCTGGAGGCACCATGCTACCTGACTTCAAACTATACTACAAGCCTACAGTCACCAAAACAGCATGGTACTGGTACCAAAACAGATATATAGACGAGTGGAATAGACAAGAGGCCTCAGAAATAATGCTACACATCTACAACCATCTGATCCTCGACAAACCTGACAAAAACAAGCAATGGGAAAAGGATTCCCTATTTAATAAATGGTGTTGGGAAAACTGGCTAGCCATATGCAGAAAACTGAAACTGGACCCCTTCCTTACACCTTATACAAAAATTAACTCAGGATGGATTAAAGGCCTAAATGTAAGACCTAAAACCACAAAAACCTTAGAAGAAAACCTAGGTAATACCATTCCGGACAAAGGCATGTGCAAAGACTTCATGACTAAAACACTAAAAGCAATGGCAACAAAAGCCACAACTGACAAATGGGATCTAATTAAACTAAAGAGCTTCTGCACAGCAAAAGAAACTATCACCAGAGTGAACAGGCAACCTACAGAATAGGAGGAAATTTTTGCAATCTATCCATCTAACAAAGGGCTAGTATCCAGAATCTACAAAGAACTTAAACAAATTTTCAAGAAACAAACAAACAAACCCATCAAAAAGTGGGCAAAGGATATGAACAGAAAAAAGGTGAGTCTGAAGCAGAGGTGGCCATGGAAAATGGAAGGAAGATGTCTTTCTCATCTTTCTAGTTCTGATTCGAAACCACTTCCTCAAGAAAGTCTGCTCTTTCTCCAACTCAGAAAGCTCAACAACAATAGTACGTATTCATTCGATGAAATATTTATCATTTGTTCCTTTCAGTGAAGAAACAGTTACATTTCATAATATTCATCACAATAGAGTTGCACATAAGGTATGCCCAAAGCACAAGCATTCCAGCTAACTCAGAAAGTAGGAGCACTAAGGAATTTTAGGCACGTTTATGTGCAACAACCTTAATCAACAGAATCAATAATCAAATTAATTTTCAATATTTATGAACTAAAAATTAAGAGATTTTTAATGTCATATAGAATTCTCAACTGCTCTGGCACATAAGACAGAGGAAAATCCCTAATGTGAAGACAACACCACCAAGCCAAATCTCAACTCCATTGTATCTTTGTTTTCTGACCCTAGGTAAGATATATTACTTCAGTTTCATTTGGTTTAAGATGAAAACAAAATTCATATAGGTTACATTGTTTTAAAAAACAAAGGAGAAAATTCCTTTAAAAATACACATCATAAAACCATTGATAAAGTTCTCTTTATATTTACACTGTAACCTTTGGATATAGGGTTATGTACCTAGGGAATCTATTTGGATAGGGAATAATAAATTGGTTTCTAGATTTTAAACAGAAGCTAGGAACTAGAAAGCTATGCTATTTTAGAAGAAATTTGTCATATTCACAAGATATTTGAAGAATCTATTGGTTGTATGGATAGGAAATTGCTTGAATTAGAGCCTAGAGACTATGAAAACCCAAGGCTCAAGCACTGTTTTATTGTGGTTTCACCACAAATGTCCATTAAAGATTGAGGCTACTTCAAGCTGTTAAACATTATACATATTATCAAAGCATAAATAAGATTAATCAACGGTCATTTGACAATGGTCTACCTTCAAAGCAAACTACATTTGGATCTCTTGTAGCATTCATAGATATAGGAATTTCCTCAGTAGTATGGGGGAATATATTGCGCTATGGTATAAATGCGTATAATTTGGGTGAGGATACAAGTAGAAAGTATTTTCAGGGCACGTTCACAGTATTTATGACCTGAGTTTTGGGTAAGAGCATCTGTGGAATTGATAATGCTTGATCCATCATGGCCCAGTTTTCTACTGTCACTCCCATATAGCAAGGATTAAATTGAATTCTTCATACTGTCACATTGAGGGAAATGATGAGTGAGCAGTGATGTGATTGTTTGTTAAGAGGACACAAGGGGAGTGATGCAAGTTATTACAAGAAGTTAAGCTCTAAACAGTAATAGCCTTGGAACGGCAACAGAAGGTAGAAGGCTAAGAGAATACCTGATTCTCTCTCGAGAAGATGGCTCACATGTCAATATTGTGGTGTTTTAAATATGGAAAGGGTTTAAAAGAAAAATACAAGTGACAAAGTCAAGGGAAGGGTACGAGGGTGGAGATTAGCAACGAGAAATGAACCAGAGATTTACATAGAGTATGGTCTACAGGCTTCATGACTTCTCTGTGGAGTTGATGCTAAAATCATTTGGATTACAGGACTTCTAAGGAAAATTCAGGCAGTAAGGACATAAAACTCAGTTTATATGTGAGGAGTATAAAGGAATCTTGGATGCACAGCAACCACAAAATATAATATCAAGTTTCAGTGTGACTATGCAACATGGGGACTTATGCTACAGGCCATGAAAAACACAAAAAACTAAACTTTAAAACTAAACATTTCCTGTCCTCCCTCTTAGAAACTAGATGGATAACATGTTTAAGGATCCTGAATACAAGTCTTTGAGTTTCACCCAAGGAACCACAATATTTACTAGCACTGATATGATGGTGACATACTTTAGCTAGCACAGGGTTACAATTCATGAAGAAAAATCACTGACATAATTGTGCATTGATAATATTATTTGAATAGTCAAAGGATTAGGGAGAAAGTGGATATGCAGGTGCCTCCACAGTATGAAAAGGTGCATTGAACTATGAATGTATATTGGAATTTGGCCACTGCTAGTATGTCAGAAGAATCTAAGGAGGGTGGCAATTTAGAAATCAAGTGCACGCTCTTCCACTTGTCACCTTGTTTGAGAGAAATAATGTTTTTAATGATCTCTAATGGAAAAATTCTAAAACTTGTTTCCACTGAATGTTGGGTCTAGAATTTAATCATATTTACAGAGCAATTTCCTGCCCTCGTGCATTTCAAGTTTTTCTTATTGCTACTTGACTTTGTACTCCCTTTATTTACTTCATTAAATGTTAAAGAAAATACTTCCACTCTTTGGTCCTGAAGGTAATACTTAATCCTTCTTCTTTCTTCTCTTTCCTTTTACTTCTCCCTCTCCTTCTTTTTCCATAGCTTTATTTGATCAACAGTGGGGGAATGGGAAAAGAGTAGCCGTACTCCAGCTCATGGCTAGTGAATTTTTTGCAGAATGAATAAAGGATGCAACTAAAGCAGCAAAATTGCTTAAATAAAGGTTCCCACAGTACACATTCCACCCAGCAGCCTTTGTTGAAATAACACACGCACGTATCTTCAACTCTATTAACAACAATGTTGGGTTTTTAAAAATCTAAACTTCCTTTAAAATTCAACAAAAAAGCCCTTTAGAAAACAAAGGGGTGGAAGAAGTTCAATGTATTAAAGCACATTATACCCAAATATACTCAACTTCAAAAAATGCAATCCCAAGAACTATATAAAAAATAAACAAAAGAATAAAATGTAATGTAAATTTTCCTTAATATTCCTTCTCCAATGGAGGGGCAAAGTAATTTAATTTTACTTTGCTTTAATTTTCTATGTTCGATGATGATTATTAATAAGAAAAGTAGTAATCATAATGCCTTACATTGGCAAATTACTTAAAAGGTTATTTTTTGTATTTCAAAAATATCCTTTGTATCATGGAAAAAAGCCTGAGGTAAGTATGCAAGCAACTTCGTAATCACACTCTGCATGCTCATCTCTGGAGCATAAGGAGGGCACCATGCATGTGGGTGACTCATCATGAGGGACGAATAAAGGGAAAGGGGTACAAGATGAAAGAAGTAGTCCAGCATATAAAATTTGAGGTGCAAGGTTAAACAGGTCACTTGACCTCCAAGGTGCCTGTGTGGTCTCTTCCAAGAGTACTTTCCTTTGTTTCCTGTTATAAAGCTGTTAAATAAACTTCCATCCTGCTCTGAAATAAAAATATATATATTTTTTATCAATTATCTAAGTCAGAAAAAGGAAAGGCTCAATTAAGTGACTACTTGCATAATATATCCTGTCTAGATTGAAAGGCCAGCTTTTTCCAGTTCACAAATATTTATCTTCATATTGTTTTGTGTACCCCATAAGAATTTCCTTTTCTAAAAGCTTTTTAATGATATCCCATACCATTTGTAAATTTTATCTCACTAATTATAAATTCATCAATAAACATTCTTGTTACCATGTATTTCTTTATATCCATAAATCTCTTGGTGATTAGCTGTACATATGATGATTTTCTTCTGTATCCCTCCATATACCAGTAGAGCTGCCAACAAACAATTCCCAGCTTTGAATATGTGTACGTATTCCTCAAAGCTACAGTTATGAGTTGTAATCATTATAGTCACTTAGCAAGGAAATTATCTTGAAATGATAATAGCTAAATGTGCCATATGCCAGCATATTCTAAGTGTTTGGTAAGCATTAAGTCACTTCACCACTCCAAAGATGAGTAGCATTATTTTCTTCATGTTATACTTGAATTGAAGTCACTGAGGCACAGAGAAATTGAGTAACTTTCTTGAAGCCACATAGCAATGCTGGGATTTAAACACAAGTGATCTGGCTCTAGAAGCTGCCTATCAACTTCTATATTTACCACCTTTCTGTGTGAATACAAACATATGTTCAGTAATTAATTCTCTATCATTTATTGAGTTTTTACATATATATTTTAGTTCAGAAAGATAGAAAAAAAGGAAATTATGACCCCCATCCTCAAAAGTTCATCATATGTAATATGTAAAGCAAACAGGAAAATATAAGTACATTTAAATAAGCGTGGGCAAAACTCTTGTTTTCTCAATAAAGATGTCAGCAACCATGGTCTGTCAACTTTGAAATTATTCAGAGATAAAGAAAGATGAAGAAAGAACCTTCTTCCAACCTAAATTCACTCTAATTGGATCCTTGTAGTAGCTTACATGTTTACTCTATCTATCTATCTATAGCTATCATCTGTCATTACAATCTGTTTGAGACAAATCCTTTATCAAGAAGAAAATATGTGCATATACAATAAGAACATAATTTTAATTTTCTTTTTCCTATGGCATAAATTCAATGTATTAAGTATAATTTCTACTAGTAATACAAATGGCAATATTATACCTGTGGTAAATGAACTACATAGAAAAGTAATGTGTGGTGAATTTAAATGAAATTACGTGCTATGATATTTAGTAAATCTGATGGTAGTCAATAAGTTAAAATATACCCTCCAAAGAAGCAACTTATACTGGTAAATTTAAACTTTAATTTCTTTCACTTTGTTTAATAACTGTTTTCTGATTATAATTAGAAAACTGCAGAGTATTTGGAAAATATCCATAGTTTTGAAAGGCAAACATTACTCATTTTTCTACAACACGGTTTACAACTGCTGTTAATCTGATACATGATTATATTTCCTTCTGTTTTTAAAAATTGTGACCATTCTCTGTTTAACAATTTTGCAGACTGCTATTTTCATTCAAGATTGAATAATTAAAATTTCCTAAGATATATTATTTGAAAGCATGATTTTAAAAAAATGCTGTGTAACCTTCCCCCATGTGGACAGACATAATTTACTTAACCTTTCATTATTGCCTCTAGTTTTTCAACACTAAAAATAATTCTAGAAGATAAATATGTCATTAAAATCTGTGGGTATTTCCAAAGCATACATTCCTTGATGTCAATGACTAAGAACATGTATAAATTCTTGTGTGTTTTTCATTTTAAACTACTTGCCACAAAATTTGTGTCTATTTAAATTCTCACCAGCCATATAAGAGAATGCTCATTTGACCAATCCCTTACAACCATTCAATATTATATTTTAAAATCTTTGCCAATTCAATAGATGAAAATGACATCTTATTTTATTTTCCACCCCTTTACTCACAAATAAGGGCACAAATGATATGGAATAATTTTTTGTGTCTTTATTATTATCTTGCATGTCTCTTGGGAATTACCTGATTCTATTCAGACCTCATGATCACTTCTCCATGAGGAATTTATATTTCACTTTTAAGTTTTCCAATTTCAAAGATTAGACATAAACCAAAGGAAATCCTGTAAAGTTCTTCCCAGGCAATTAATGAGTCTGGTAAACCTATAAAAACTTGCAAATCAAAACTCCCCTAAAAGTTCCTAATATATAAACAAGCAATGTTAAAATTAGAGATTTTATAGTTTGTATACTCAGCCGCATTTATACATTCCTCCACTAAGCACACAAAACAATAAGCATATAAGCTCAAGTCTAGAAGTTTTGCTTCTTTTCACTGTTATACTAATAAATTCCTAGTGTGTTTTGTTATTTATCCTGCTTTATTCAAACTTTACAACTATTATTTGGCCTCCTTTAGAAATATTTGTTACTTCAAATGGTAGTTTAAAAGTGCTAAAATAGAGCAGATTTTAGAGACCACCTTAGGAAATGCTGCAAACGTTAATAAGTTTCACTTACAGAATATAGCAAAGAAGCAAAACCAACTCAGAAACTTAGTGTGCATTGGAGGGTATTATATAACGTATTTTGCAGTGAAGCCTCTATAATAAGTGTTTCCTTGGTTGGTACTTCTTAAACAAGCTTGCCAAAACCCTTAATTACTACCCAATAGTATAATGTTTTATAAAATTTGCCTCAAGATTTACCTCACATCTTGGTTTAATTGGGACAATCCCAGGTTAAAACTAGTTAATATATCCCACCCAGTTTAGCATTTATCCAAGAAAAAGGGTCCAACTTTGGACAATAATTTCTAGGGTTGTCATATTTGTAAAATACTATGAGGTGCTAGGTAACTTTTTCTGGATAAATTTTATCTTCTATCATTGGACCAGAGCACACTCCTTGAAACCAGAGTGCTCAGGCTTGCATCCCAGCTGCACCATTTATTAAATCTCTCAGTATGGGTAAGTTACTCAAACTCTCTGTATCTCAGTTTTCTCATCTACAAAATGTGGATTATGTCTTTGTTCTCAAATATTTGCCACCCTCTTTGTGCAAGAATACTTTCTGTTGCTCATTGATATCATGACTGCGATTTCTGATCCTTCTCCATATGGAGGAACTAAAAATCATAATCCCATTAAGATGTGTTTAACTATTTGAATTCTTTTGGTCAAAGCAATGTGCACTAAAATGATGGGAACCACTTACACACAGAAATGTTAAGAGTCATCTTGTGGTTAAGCCCCCTCCCTTTTCCATTTGCCGTAAGATTTTAAAAATTCCAATAGGAATTAATCTTTCAGATTGGGTACTATAATGAAGAAGAGGGAGAGCAGAGCTGCTGTTGGCCCACAATAAATATGTAATGTGAGCAACAACAAAATTTTGTTGTTGCATGCCTCTGAGATTTTAGTGTTGCTCATTATATCAGCATATCTTCACCTAATCTGACCGGTACATTATTTCAAAGGGTTGTTTTCAGAAATAAATGTGTCAATATAAATGTATATGTATATATATGTAATGTGTATATATATAAAACACTTAGAGCAATGACTGACACATACCATTTCAATAGTGAATAACTTTTACAAAGCAAATAGCCTATGATCACATGAAACAATGCAAAGTTAGTTAGTGATACTAGAGATAAAAACAAACAAAAATAAAACAAAAGTATTTACCCCAGTAGGGAACTGACAATAAATATTAGACTAGATTAATATTAACAGCAACAATATTTCTGCAGTACAATCTAGAGGTACATTTTAATAGTTCTAGTTTTAATCGTGTTGTGAAGGAATTACGGATATATTCAAAATTATAATTGAAGAGTGTACATTGCTACATCATTTACGATAACAAAATGTTGAAAATATATTTGATCAACAATGACAGGAATTAAATAACTTATGGTATAGCCATACAGTTAAATTCTACTTAGTAACTAAAACTGTTATAGAGGAATATTTAATGATACTTTTTTACATGCATTAATTTTATAATGAAAAAGTAGTATAAAAATCAACTATACTTGGTTTTATGTATGGTATGGATGTTATCTCGAAACCTAAAGAGGAAAAGAAAGGACCCTTTGATATTACAAAGTGGTACAACAGAAATAGAAAGAACTGTGTTGTTTTGACAGTATCTTTTTTTAAACTCTTATTTTAGGTTGAGAGGTACATGTCAAGGTTTCTAATATAGGTAAATTGCATGTCACATGGGTTCAGTACAGATTATTTTGTCACTCAAGTAATAAGCATAGTACCCAAAAGGTAGTTTTTTGATCCTCTCACCTCTCATTTCATCCATGAAGAGAGATAGCTTGTCTTCCTCTCTTCCTATTTGTTTACACTTTAGTTCTTTCTCTTGCCTGATTGTTGTGGCTAGGATCTCCAGTACTATGTTGAATAGAAGTGGTGAGAGTGAGCATCTTGTCTCTCTCCAGGTCTCAAGGGGAACGTTTTCAGCTTTTGCCCATTCAGTATGATGTTGGCCGTGGATTTGTCATAGATGGCTCTTATTATTTGAGGTATGTTCCTTCAGTGGCTAGTATGTTGAGGATTTTTAATATGAAGTGATGTTGAATTTTATCAAAGGACTTTTCTGCATCTATTATGTGGTGAATTACATTTATTGATTTGCATATATTGAACTAACCTTACATCCTAGGGATAAAGCCAACTTAATCAAGGTGGATTAGCTTTTAGATGTGCTGCTGTATTCAATTTGCCAGTAGTTCACTGAGGATTTTTACATTTATGTTCATCAAGGATATTGGCCTGAAGTTTTCTGTTTTTGTTGTATCTCTACCAGATTTTGGTATCAAGAGAATGCTGGCCTCATAGAATGAATTAGTCAGGGAGGTGTCCCTTATCTTATTCTCAAATCTCTCCTTCTGTGTGCAGTAAAGTTACCAAAATTCAGTGGGCTATGTTCTTCAAATCTACAAAATTATGGTAATAGTATCTACCTCAACAAGTTGTGTGAAAAGAAAACAAAATTATGTATGTAAAAACCTAATTGTCCTCAATAAATGTTACCATTGTAATTCACACTTGAAAATGAGTCCTTGTATCATGTTATACCAGTCGACTGGCTCTCCAAATCTCAAGCAAGTTCTGAGATCTTCCTTTTGATTATCCTTTTTAACTACCATTTCACTTTTAAGCATAACTTATTTAAGATAATAATGAAACCTTATACTATGATTTTCAAAATGTGGTATAGCAGCTCTCAAAATTTTTTATCTTAGGACACTTTTACCCTCTTAAAAATGATTAAGGCCTATAAGAGCATTTGTTTGGGCTACATCTATAAACACTTTATTGTATTAAATTTAACAGTATAATTTAAAAACATTTCTGAATTTTGAATGTAAAAACAATAAACCTAAAACATTAATATACATAAAATATTTAAATATCAAATACTTTTATTATCAAAAAACCAGTAAGAAAAATGGCATTTTGTTCATTTAAAAAAATTAGTATCTGCCTTATTAGAAACTAGCCAGATTCTCAAATCTGCCTTTGAATTCAATTTGCTATAGTATGTTGTTTTTGTTATGTTATTTTGTTTCACACATATATTCCGTTAGAAATTGGAATAGTATTCTGGCAGATTTTTCAGATAATTGAGATATCCTGCTTTGATACTACATCAAAACTCAGCAAGTAATAGTTCCTTACAGTTTACTTGCAATGTGAAAATAAAAGCCCTGACAATGAATATTTCATACTCTAATTGGTTAAATATATTGATTTATCTTGCATTTTGAATGAATTTTTAAATTTCTTCATGATTTTGTAACATTCTGCATTAGTCATTTGGAAAATACTGGTTATTTGGGCTATGCAGATTTAGCAAATTTTTACACATTTCAAATGCAATATGAAAATACGTTTGTTTATAACTTTTCTCAGAATAATCTTTATTGGAAAACTATCAGGGTCACAGTGAACATGGATACAAGTTTTCTAAAATTCAAATTGTCACTTGAAAGTTTGACTTACCATTGGCAATAAATAGTTACTTGTTTTATTCGAATGACTCACTTCCTATATTTTCACAGAAAATGTCTGCAAAATACCCAAGTTTTAACATCCATAGATTCTCTTTCAGTTAAATTACCCATAGTAATTCTTTCAGTTAAAAATGATGTTCTACGAAAAACTAGCTACTTTATTTTGCAACTCAAACAGTCGCACAAGTGCTTTTACTCTACACATTCATCACACATGAGGATGAAGCCAGTATTGTTTACACTTACTTTGCATTTCATTATAAATGATGTGTAGTCACTGTCTTCCTTCAAATGTAGACATCAGAAATTTTAACCACTACTTCCTGTCTCAATCAGTGCACATGTCAACAAAGTGAACAAGACAAAACCATCATACTATTATTATTTTTAAAAAGTTTTGACCTATTAGACCTTCAGAAAGGGTTTAAGGGATACATCACAATTTGAGAATCGCTGACATAGGCCACATTAATATCCTGAAGTCATGAAAATGTTTTCATATCCCTATCTCCCTGAGGTATGCAGGAAATTATTACACTTCATTTTATTCTTTTAGAAGAAATTTCTCCTGTCTTCATTTAATTCTTTGTGTTCCTTACAATCAGTGAACTATTTTCCAATAGCAAACTTGGTAGCAGATCACAGTATCATTAATCAATTTTATCTAATTCTTGTAGTTGCAGCCCTACCACCAGTTGCTGTAAGGAGTAGACAGATAGGTACCATCAGTACTCTACTACATATAACCAGGCAGCAATGTCCTAGGGGTTTTTCAAAACATTTTGTAATCTTTTGGGTGACACACTGTAAAGGAGACAGCATGAAACAGGGAGGTATTAGTCTGGAGTCTGGAAAACCAGTAATAGTTATGAGCTAGAGGGTTACATTGATGTTTTGAGCCAAATCTTATATACACTATAATGAAAAGAGAGTAAGATGCAATTAGCTCCAGTCTCTTTGATCATAAAAAAACAAACTATAAGCTAAACATAAATGTGTTCCATCATAAACATAATTATAAAGAATTCAGAATTCTTTTAAAAATGTTTTTCACAGCCTCCTATCCGCAGAATATGCCTCACCTGCAAGTTTATCATGTTCATGCTATCACTCTTTGAAACATGTGGGCCATGTAGCACTAGTCCAGAAGGATTTAGCATAGCATCTTTAAAATCCTGAATAACATGAGCATAAATTTCTTTGGCTATCCGCATCAAAATAATGCTATTCTCTACGCTTGCCTGTCATTTCATGAATCCACAGATTTAGCCACTTTTCCATGTTTTCCATAGTTTTATCATGTGGTACAGATGTTAGTTTTGCACTTTACGAAGCAACTTCATATACAGCTCAGCAAATTTCCTCTTCCTTTTTCTGGATATTCGTATTGTTGATTCATTAACATTGAACTCACAGCCAAAAGCACTATAATTCACGCTAAACAAAGCTTGTCTAACACTCATATTTTCTCATTGTAAGGCACATCATAGTCTTCTTGTGCTTCTTGTCTATTTCATCATAAACAGCACTTCACCACTGGTTGGGTTAAGATGGTTAGACCATCTTAAAAGTAAAATCACCAAGTAAAAGGATGAAAATTCAAAGCTCTTGGCACTAACTAGGCTGCAAAAAGGACACTCGTTTATAACATGAGAGCTGAAACAAGAAGGCAGACTGCTGTTTTGCCTTCTTCTCACATGACTGGAATATGTGGTTTGAACAATTCACATTTTTCAATGTTCTGTACATGTCCGTGAATTACAGCAAACACACCATGAGTATTGGCCTGGGGATTATCAACATATTTCATAGTGAGTAGTAAAATTCACAAATATGAAATCCATAAATAATGAGGACTAACTGTGCTAACATAGTATTTAAAGTTCAAACATATTTAGAATTATAAAAATATAATCCACAACAAAAAGATGAAATTGCATGTATGTTTTTTCTGTCTGCAATAAAAGCACTCATTTACAAATTTCCTACATTTAAGGTCATGTGACCCTATATTAGGATTAAGGATATTAAAGTAGTTGTTACACATGCTGTAACACAAAGACCCAGAAATTCTAGAAAATTTTAATTCTGAGCTCTTCATCTAAATGGCGTCAACCCCCTATATCAGTCTCATGAAAATAAATAGATGTCAGTTATGCTAGTTTTCAGGATTGAATAAAATATTGGCAAAGAAGCCATGATGCTTGAATTAATAAAGAGAAAGCACTAACTTGCAAGAAATAAGTCATGAATCAGAAAAGATTTTTGAAACTTTCAATATTATTTTGAAAATTCATTTTTAGCAAATTAGTATGGCCCTGATTGATTAGTTCCAGGAGTTTTAGAAAAGACAACCAAATACAGAAATCCAACTTATAGAAAAACCTTATTGGTATCCATTTTAAACCATCCATAAGTATTTTATTGTCTCCTTATATATAGCTAAGTGATCCAACTTTTCTTTTTCCTTTTTTCTTTTTTTTTTTCTTTTGAAACAGAGTCTCACTCTGTCAACTAGGCTGGAGCTCAGCGGTGCAATCTCGGCTCACTGCAACCTGTCTCCTGGGTTCAAGCAATTCTCCTGCCTCAGCCTCCCAAGGAGCTGGGATTATAGGCCCCTACCACCACACCCAGCTAATTTTGTACTGTCAGTAGAGATGGGGTTTCACCATGTTGTCCAGGCTGGTCTTGAACTCCTGACCTCAAGTGATCTGCCTGCCTCGGCCTCCCAAAGTGCTGGGATTAAAGGTGTGAGCCACTGCACCTGGCCCAATTTTTCTTTTTAAAAACTTGAATCTCTGTTTATCACAATATAAAAGAGGAGAAGATAGTAGATCATTTTATTATTTTTCTTTTTGGTGAATTTTAACATATTTTGTTTATTTCTTTTTTCATGATCTCTTCTGTTCTTCACTAAAAGACACCAGCTCCATAATATTTCATCCATATGTGTTTTTTCCATGTTTGCTTTTTACGCTAATTTAGATTAAAACTTCTCAAGTCAACTATTTTGAATGGTATTATCAATACATGGAACCATATGACAGTATGATATGTTGATACTGATAATATGTGGAACTATAGAAATTTTAGAAATCACTTTACATAATGCAGTTTCTCATGTTTAGTAATAAGGAAGCAACATGGAACACCACTTTTCCATTTCTTTCTTTCCCTGGCCCCTTCAACACCAAATAAAGAACTCTACTTTGTGATAGGCTCAATAAATGAGTGACTATGAATTCCTAGACTGGAGGTCAGTTGTAAATCCCCTTAAATTTAAATCTAGGGCCACATATCAACCATCAGTAGGATGAGCATTCATTTATATTTCTTCAATCCTCAAGAAGAAAACTTGCAGGATCAGTCTTATTGCTGTTATTAATAGTGCATTCTTTAAATTTAATTTTTCTTTTATTTTAGTAGTGCATTCTAATAAAACTTTCTCAGTAATGAAGTTTATGTTGTCACTGTTTCATCAACTCTTTATCCAATATCCATCATGTGCCTTGAAATGTGCTAGTTACTTGGGGACAAACATGAATGCTACTACAGACATGTATTTTGTAAATTTCAAGTTAATTTGTATATATGGAAAGAATAAATTACTATTTTCATGTAAACATTATCCTTTCCTCAATGTATAGGTGTTGGTCTATTCTATACTCTAGTTTATCCCACCTCTTGATGTGATCCTTGTGCAAATCCCATAGTCATTTAACTATTCTAATTTTATAATGAATCCTAAAAACTGGTAATATGCATTCTTCTTCTTAAACATTATTCTAGCTATGTCTTTTGAATTTCATATAAATATTAAAATTATTTAATGTCCACCAAAAGAAAAGAAACATGCTTAAATATAGATTAGAATCATAATAAATTTATAGATGATCTCCATTTATTTCTCTGTTCATTAAATTCTCTAAGCAGTATTTTAATATTTTCAAAATAGAGGTCTCAAACATCTATTAAAATCTCTCTTGGTGTTTCATGATTTTATGCTATTATAAATAGCATTTTTAAGGGTTTATTTATGTAATCATTTGCTGCTAGTCTCTAACAGTACAGTTATTTTTTTTAATATTGACTTTGTATCTATGGTTGAACATTCTGGAACTCTTCTCTTCTTTCTGTATACTATGTGCTTCCATTTACAAATATTTTCCTTCAAGCCGAAGAACTTTCTTGGTGTTTCTTGTAATGAAGATTGCTATAAATGCATTCAGTTTTGTCTAAATAATATTTATTTTTGAAGAATATTTTTATCCAGTATAGAATTCTACATTGACTTTTTCTTCCTTTTGGCCCTCTAAAGACGTAATTTCATTGTTTTTGCTTTTTACTTTTTAAATATTTTTCTGAGTATTTAGTAGGAGTATATATTTATGGGGCACATGAAATATTTTGATATAGGCACACAATGCATAATCATCACAACAGGGTAAATGGGGTATCCAGCACCTCAAGCATTTATCTTTTCTTTGTATTACAATCTGATTATATTAAATAACTAAAATACTGGATACTAAATAACTAAAAGTTATTTAAAAATGTACAATAAATTATTGTTGACTGTAGTCACCCTGTTGTGTTATCAAATACTAGAGATTATTCATTCTATCTAACTATATTTTTGTACTCATTAATCATCTCCACTTCCCACCAGCCCCACTACCCTTCCCAGCTGCTGGTAATCATCATTCCACTCTCTCTCTGAGTTCGATTGTTGTAATTTTTAGCTCTCACAAATAAGTGAGAATATGGGAAGCTTTTCTTTCAGTGCCTGGCTTATTTCACTTAACATAATGATCTCCAATTCATTTGCATAATAACCTCATTTGCAAATGAAAGGATCTCACTCTTTTTTTTATGGATGAATATTACTCCTTTGTGTATATATACCACATTTTCTTTATCCATTCATCTGTTTGTGAGCACTTAGGTTGCTTCCACTCCCTGGCTGTTGTGAATAGTGTTGCAATAAACATGGGAGTATGTCTATATCTTAGACATACTGATTTCCTTTCTTCTGGGTATATACCTAGAAGTGGGATTGCAGGATCATATGGCAGATCCATTTTTAGTATTTTGAAGAATCTTCAAAGTGTTCTCCATAGTACTTGTATTAATTTACATTCTGACCAACAGGGTATGAGGGCTCCCTTTTGTCCTCATCCTCCCCAGAATTTACTATTGCCTGTCTTTTAGATAGAAGTAATTTTAACTGAGATGAGATGACATCTCATTGCTATTGTGATTTGTATTTATCTGATGATCAGTGATGTTTTCCAGCTTTTCATGTACTTGTTTGCCATTTGTATGTCTTCTTTTCAGAAATATCAATTCAGATCTTTGGCCCATTTTTTAAATGGATTATTAGATTTTTTCCTATGTAGTTGTTTGTGCTCCTTATATACTCTGGTTTATAATCCCTTGTCAGATGAACAGTTTGGAAATACTTCCATTCTGTGGGTTGTCTTCCCACTTTGTTGATTATCTTCTTTGCTGTGCAGAAGATTTTAACTTGACACATCCCACTTGTCCATTTTTGCTTTGGTTGCATGTACTTGTGGTATATTACTCAAGAAATCTTAGCTCAGACCAACATCTTGGAGAGTTTCCCTAAATTTTTCTTTTAGTAATTTCATAGTTTCAAGTCTTAGCTTTAAGTATTTAATCCACTTTGAGTTGACTTTTGTATATGGTGAGACATAATGCAGATTAAGTCCAATGTTTCTTTGTCTCTTTTTAGCTCTAATATTTCCTTTATATATCTGGCTGTGCCAGTGTTGGTTGCATACATATTTACAAATGTTATATCCTCTGGCTAAATTGACCCATTTATCATTAAATAATAAACTTCTTTGTCTCTTCTTATAGTTTTGTCTTGAAATCTCCTTTGTCTGATGTAAGTATAGCTACTCCTGCTCTTTTTTAGTTTTACTTTGCATGGAATGTCATTTTTTTATCTGTTTATTTTCAGTCTATGTGTCTTTATAGGTGAAGTCTGTTTCTTGTAGGCAACAGATTGTTGGGTCATTTTTTAAAATCCATTCAGCCACTCTATGCCTTTTGATTGGAGAGTTTAGTCCATTTACATTTAATGTTACCATTGATAAGTAAGGATGTAATCCCACCATTTTGCCATTTCTTTTATAGTGGTTTTGTGGTCTTCTTTCTTTCCTTCCTTCCTTATTAGTGAAGATGATTTTCTCTGGTGGTATGTTTAATTTCTTTCTTTTTATGTATCTGTTGCATGTTTATAGATTTAAGGTTACCATTAGGCTTGCAAGTAATATCTTATAACCCATTATTTTAAACTGATGACAACTTGACACTTATTACATTAACAAAAACAAGCAAACAAACAGGAAAAGCAATAACTAATAAAAACACTGTACTTTAACTTTGTCTCCAACCTTTTTAACTTTTTATTATTTCTCTTTATATCTTATTATACTGGCTATGTCTTGGAAAGTTGTTGTTATTACTTTTGACCGATTTATTTTTTATCTTTCTACTTAAGATATACATTGTTGATATACCACAATTAAAGTGTTACAATAGTCTGTGTTTTTCTGTGTGCTTACTATTACCAGTGAGTTTTATATCTTCAGATGATTTTTTTCTTGATCATTAACATCCTTTTCTTTCAAATTAAATAACTCCCTTTCGTATTTCTTGTAGGACAGGTCTGGTGTTGATGAAATCCCTCAACTTTTGTTTTTACTGAAAAATTTTTATTTCTCCTTCATGTTGGAAGAATATTTTTTGCTGGATATACCATTCTAGGGCAAAATGCTTTTTCCTTCAGCACTTTAAATATGTCATTTCATTCTCTCCTGGCCTGTAGGGTTTCCACTGAAAAGTCTGCTGCCAGACTTGGAACTCCATTGTATGTTATTTGTCTCTTTTCTCTTGCTGCATTTAGGATCCTTTTTTTTATCTTTCACCTTTGAGAGTTTGATTATTAAATGTCTTGAGGTAGTCTTTTTGGGGCTAAATCTACTTGGTGTTCTATAACCTTTTTGTACTTGAATACTGATATCTTTTTCCATGTTTTGGAAGTTCTCCGTTATTATGCTTTTAAAAACTCTTTCTACTTCTATCTCTCTCTCTACTTTCTCTTTAATGCCAATAACTGTTAGATTTGCCCTTCTGAGGCTATTTTCTAGATCCTGTAGGTGTGCTTCAATCTTTTCTATTCTTCTTTTCTTTCGTCTGCTGTGATTGTGTATTTTCAAATAGCCTGCCTTCAAGCTAATTGTTTCTGCTGTTTGATCAATTCTATTAAGAGACGCTGATGAATTCTTCAGCATGTCAATTACATTATTCAACTCCAGATTTTATACTTGATTCTTTTTAATTATTTCAATCTCCTTGTTAAATTTATCTCATAGGATTTTAAATTCTTTCTCTTTGTTATCTTGAATTGTGTTTCCTCAAAAAAGCTCTTTTAAATTCTCTGTCTGAAAAATCACATATTTCTATCTCTCTGGGATTGGTCACTGGTGACTTACTTAGTTCATTTGAGAAGGTAATGTTTTCCTGGATGGTCTTGATTCTTGTGGATATTTGTCAGTGTCTGGGCATTACAGAATTCAGAATTAATTGTAGCCTTCACAGTCTGGGCTTGTTCATACCTGTCCTTTTAGGGAAGACTTCCTATGATTTTGAATGGACTTGTGTGTTATGATCTAAGTTTTGGTCACTGCAGCCATATCTGCATTAGGGGGACCCCAAACCCAGTAATGCTATGGCTCTTGTGGACTCACAGAGGTACCGCGTTGGTGATACTGCATAAGATCCAAAAGAATTCTCTGGATTACCAGGCAGAGATGCTTGTTCTCTTCCATTACTTTCTACCAAGCAAATGGAATCTTTCTCTGTGCTAAGCTGCCTGGAGCTGGGTGAGGGGTGGCAGGTACCACCACTGGCAATGTATTGGGTCAGACTTGAAGTCAGGACAGCACTGGATCTCAGTCAAGCTCCACTGTAACAACTACCTGGTTACCACCTATGTTTGCTCAAGGTCCAAAGGATCTATAATCAGCAGACAGCAAAGCCAGCCAGGCTTGTGTCCTTCCCTCCAGGATGGAGAGTTCCCCAGGCCCTGAGTAGGTCCAGAAATGCCATCCAGAAACCAGGGTCTGGAGTCAGGACCATAGAAATCTATGTGGTGCTGTATTCTACTGCAGCTGAGCTGGCACCCAAACCACAAGACAAAGTCCTTCCACTCTTCCCTGTCCTTTCAACAAGCAAAGTAGTCTCTCCCTGTGGTCCCCACTGCCACAGACCCACAAAGAGTTGTGCCAGGCTACCAGCAATGTTCACTGAAAGCCCAAGGGATCTTCAGTCAGCTTGTGTTGAATGCCAGGCTTAGGACTCACCCTTCATGGCAGTGGGCTCCCCTGTGGCTCAAGGCACATCCAGAAATGCCATCCAAGAGCCAAAGCCTAGAATTGAGGACTACAAGATCCTGATTGGTGTTTCACCCCAGTGCAGCTGAGCGGGTACCTAAGATGCAAAACAAAGTCCCCTTTACTCTTCACTCTGCATTTCTCAAGCAGAAGGAATCTTTCCTCATAGTCACCACTGCTGGGAATTGCTGGATCACATCTGAAGCCAGCATGTCTCAGTCTTACCCAAGGCCCACTGGGTGTATTACGTGGCTACCACTGGTGATTTTCAGGGTCCCACGGTTCTTTGGTCAGCAAGTGATGGATCCTACCAGGACTGGGTCCTTCCTTTATAGGCAGTGGGTAATCTTCTGGCCCATGGTGTGTCTAGAAATATCACTGGGTGCTAGGGCCTAAAATGGGACCATCATGACTCTGCCCAGTGCTGTAGCCTACTCTGGCTGAGCTGGTATCCAAGTTCCAAGACAAAGTACTCTTTACTCTTCCCTCTCCTCTCCTTAAGCAGAAGAAATAAGCCGTCAGAGCTGTGAGCTGTGCTGCCTGGAGTTATGAAAGGAGTGGTGCAAGCATTCCCTAGGCCACCCTGGCTAGTGTCTCATTAGATCACATGCTCCCCAGTTCCACTTGCTCTCGGCCCAGAACAGAACTAGAACTTGCCTAGGAATTGCAGTTCTTGTTGCCTAGACTGCTTTTCATGCTTATTTAGGACTCAAGAGCACCTTAGACCACAGTAGTGAGGCTTGCCAAACTCAAGTTCCAACCACTGGGATGGATGATTCTTCTCTGTCTAGGGCTGGTGTACATGCTCCTTCCATCAGTGTCGGCTAAGTTCTACAAGTTTTTGCTTTCTGTTGTGACAGGGAAGTGCTGGGTTCTAATGCAATGTCCTATAATCACTGGCCTCTCCATCCTGCAAGCACACAGATTCTCCCTGCCACTGGGCTGCTGCCAGCAGATAGGGGTAGAGTGATGTCCACAATTCAAGACTTTCTTTCCTACCCTCTTCTGTGCCTCTTTCAATGGCATGAAGTTAATATCAGGTACTATCATGGCTTACCTGACTGGTGGTTCTTATGAAGGTGCTGCTTTTTTGTGTAGATAGTTGTTAAATTTGGTGTCCCTGCAGGAAGGAAAATCAGTGGAGGCTTCTGTGCAGCCATGTTGCTCTGTTTCCCATAAAAGTTGTTATTTTTCATATTTTACTGCAAAAAACCTCTTGCTTTTGAAACTAGACCTCTCATTTAATATTCATCATTTATGAGAGTAAAATTGTATGATTATTTAAACAAAATAGCTTTAAATTAATTTTTGATTGCTCTAGTTCAAAATACAGATAAGTGGCAACCTCTGGTGTTGGATAATAATGATGGGGCCATTGATTCTGAATCTCCTCCACACCCTTCCAAATAAATTATAAAATCAATAATAGCAAAATAATCCAAGCATAACCCAGGACTTCAATTTAACTAGGAGACCAAGAAAAATATGACCTTTAGAAAAGGGAAGAAGAAAATTCCAGCAGAATTTCTACCAAGTCACCTAGTATTACAAATCTGTGGGTATGGAATTTGCAAAAGAGAAGGCATAAGAGATGTCATGAAAAACATGAGGACAGTAGAGGTTATCAATGAAACATAGACCAAATCAGTCCCTAAAAGACAAACTGCATCATTAAATGCTAAAATACTAAACATGGGTCAGCATTTGTTTGGTTATAACACTGGCTATACAGAAGACCCTTGATGGTATGCAGGATCAAAGTGGCAGCCTTCTAAGACCACTGCTTCCTTAAGAGAATGTGATATATATAAGGGATTGAAATGAGGCAGTGAAGAAAAATAAGGAAATACATATTTGCTGCAGAAACAAAAAGGGTGACAAAAACACATCAACTCTTTCCTCTCCCCAACACCCTTCTGTAAAAAATAAAGAAATAAATAAGAAAAAAGAAAACAGCAACAATAACAAAAAAGAATACTCTTGAATTAGGAATCCTGTTCACTATATAAATAATGTTAGAAAAAGCAGATCACATCGATGCTAAATGACTGTTAAAATTATGACGAAAGCAATTCCTCCTAATGAAAACTCTCCTAAAACAAACATAAAGCCAAAAAATGAAAAAAAAAACATTCCATGTTGAATTAAATATCCTGAAACATTTGGGGTCATTAAAAACACTCTGAATTAGAAGTATCAAAACTACACTAGAAATGTTGATATGGTTTGGCTCTGTGTCCCCATTCAAATCTCATGTCGAATTGTAATTCCGCTGGGAGACAGACCTGGTGGGAGGTGATTAGATCATGGGAGCAGATTTTCCCCTTGCTGTTCTCATGATAGTGAGTGAGCTCTCATGAGATCTGGCTGTTTCAAAGTGTGTAGCACTTCCCACTTCCTTCTCTCTCTGTTTCCTGCATGGTGAGAGGTATTTACTTCCCCTTTGCCTTCCACATGATTGTAAGTTTCTAGAGGCCTCCCAGCCATGCTTCCTGTAGAGGCTGCAGAACTGTGAGTCAATTATCCAGTCTCAGGTAGTTCTTTTTAGCAGAGTGAGAACAGACTAATACAAATGGTCAAATAAGAAGAAAAGATAAGAGAATGTAATGGACTTCAGAAAGAAATAGAAAAAGAATAACTCATATCAGAAATAAAGATAAAAGGAAAATATTACCAAGAGAAAATAGAATCACATAAAAATTTATTACATCTATAATGAAAAACATTCCCAAAATAAAGTAAGACTGGATTCCACCCATAGGAATGACACATCATTTCTATTGACTCAGAACACTAAACTCTGGCACATGTCTGGCAAAACTATTAGAGTTTGAAGATACCATCCTCAGCACTGTTAGGCAAAGAGAGAAAATATCTTACAAATGCAAAATAATTTGAATTTCATCAAACTTCTCTGAAAAACAACATACAAAGCAAGGTACAAGTACAGTGATATTTTCAAGAAAGTTAAAAAAAATGAAAGTATGAGCCAAAGATACATTCAGTCAAACTGTGTTTCATATATCAAGTCTATAAAAAGCAGATTTGAACGTACAAAGGCCCAGGGATATTGTACACATATACTCTTAGTGAGGAACCTACTTACAATATAAATAATGTTAGAAAAAGCAGATCACATCGATGCTAAATGACTGCTAAAATTATGACGAAAGCAATTTCTCCTAATGAAAACTCTCCTAAAAACAAACATAAAGCCAAAAAATGGAAATAAAAAAATTCCATGTTGAATTAAACATCCTGAAACATTTGGGGTCATTAAAAACACTTTGAATTAGAAGTATCAAAACTACGCTAGAAATGTTGATATGGTTTGGCTCTGTGTCCCCATTCAAATCTCATGTCAAATTGTAATTCCGTTGGGGGACAGACCTGGTGGGAGCTTCATCCAACCAAGGGAGGAGTGAAAAAACTTTAAAAAAGGACTGATGTTGAGCATTCCATGTTTATTTTTAGAATTAAAGCTAAAACAGAGGAAGAATGATGAATAAAAATTAATCTGAATAAAATTATAATTTCTGACAAAGGATTGAGGAGTCCAGCTCTGACCCAAAATCCTGTGTGAGATCTTTGAGGCCTAACTACAGGCAATTACAAAGGCTTTTACCTGTCAGGTCACATGGCGGAAAGCTACCATCCCCACACTAGACTTGGTATTTACAGCCAACGCATTGCAATTACTGAGCTGCAGTCAAGGACTCAGCCCAACGCCTCAACTGACAATGCTTTTATAATAGAAAAATAACATAAAATATATTACTAAGATAAAAAGAGACACAGAGCATATAATAAAGTATATGGAGTAAAATGCTAACAATAGGTGAATCTGGTTAAAGGGGATAGGGATATTCTTTGTAATATTCTTATTTGGCCACTTTTTTGTAAGTTTGAACATATTTTCTAATAAAAACTTTATATATATAAGCTAAGAAGACTACTTAGCACAATTAGGGGTGTTGACTCATAATGCTTGATATATTTGTTGATCTTGATGTAAATCAATTTTCCCTTTATAAATAATAATTTCACGTCGGCTAGATTTTTCTGTGTGTCTCTCCAAATCTACTCTTCAGGTCTCTATAGCTTGCTGTGTCCCCCTGGAGGCTGACCTGTAGGAACTATATTAATTGGGTTCCCTTTCCTAATATACTTTCTTGTGTTTAGTCAATTAAAAATGCAAGCAGAATCAGCATGTGTGAGCCCCATTAGGTCAAGCTCTGTTCCAGGATTTGTTCCTCTACCCAAGTTTACTGCTTCTTTTCAATGGTCTTCTAATACAGATACAGCTACACTTAAAGGTATAACTGGCCTTAGGTGCGGTGGCTCACGCCTGTGGTCCCAGCACTTTGGGAGCCCTAGGCCGGGGAAATCACTTGCACTCAAGAGTTCGAGACCAGCCTGAACAACATGGTGAAACTCTGTCTCTATTAAAAACACAAAAATTAGCCAGGCATAGTGGCATGTGCCCTTAGTCCCAGCTACTCAGGAGGCTAAGGCAGGAGAATCGTTTGAATCTGGGAGGTGGAGGTTGCAACGAGATGAGATCACGCCACTGCACTCCAGCCTGGGCAACAGAGCGAAACTCTGTCTTAAAAACATAAAAATAAATATAAAAAATAAAGATATAACTCTATCTCCAGGTACCTGAAAAACCAAGACAGCAATCTTGGTCTTGTGAGCCTACTCACTATCTTAGTCAGCTCAAGCTATTACAACAAAGTAGCATAGCCTGGGTGGCTTAAACAACATTTATTTTCCGAAGTTCTGGAGGCTGGAAAATCCACGATCAAGGAGCTAGAAATTCAATTCCTAGTGGCAGCCATCTTCCTGGTTTGCAAATGTTCACTCATATAGGTGGAGGGCAGCAAGGGAGCTCTGGTTTTTCTTCCTCTTGTTATAAGAACACTAATCCCACTACAGGGGCCCTACCTTTATTATTTCATCTAAAAGTAATTACCTTCCAAAACCCCCATCTCCAAATACCATCACAGTAGGGATTAGGATTTCAACATATGAATTTTGGAGGACACAAAAATTCAGTCCCTACCAGCTCCCCAAGCTTCACCATCCCTTGCTGACTTCTCTTAACCGTGCCCACACCTTGGTAAATATTACCTTTATTAAACCTTCCTTAGTCACTCTTTTTGAGTGTGTCATCTCTTTCCCGCAGGCATCTTGTCTGGTACATAATGCTAATAAGAAGGAAAACACTATGAAAAATATAATGTATTTAACATACTGGAAATATTTTTAAAACTATATATTACAAAAATCCAACTATTAGTAGAACTGCTTTGTGAATAAGTATGAAAAATTAATCATTTTGAAATACCTCCATGGGCTGTTTTGCAGATGAAAAATGGATGAAACTAATTTAATTGTGTTAAGATAGCATCACACATTTTCTCAAAAGATTTTACAGAATAGCTTAACATAATGGTGCATATACAATTTGGTAGGAATTAAATATTTATATGTAGATACAGGAAGCACAGCCTTAAAAACAAAATGAAGTCCATGCTATTTCTGATCAAGCCTTTATATTGTAAATTATTATCACTTGAATTTTATCACGCTCCTTGCAGCCATGGTGAAGACCTTAAGGTTCATTCAAGAGAAATGAAGATTAAAATAGCTAAAAGCAACTTAAATACCATAACATGGTTATTTTCCCTAGTTATTTTTATCTTCCTTTCATTTTTCTCAAAATATTCTGTTTATATTCTACAACCAAAGCCACCTGAATTCTACCAGTGATGAATAACAGCAGGTTAGGCGAACGGAGACAAATATTTTCCTTCATTCAGTTTGCGGTAACCGCAGTTTTTCAGTTGCTTAGGTTCCAAATCCTGGAGTCATCCTTGATTCCTATATTTGTCTCATACCTCAAATCTTAACCATCAGTAAATACACTTGGTTTTTATTTCAAAATACAGAATTTAATCACTAATCACCTCTACTGTTCCACCCTAGTCAGAACCACCATCTTCTCTTGCCTGGATTACTATAATAGCCTTTTAATTGGTATTATTGCTTTTGTCTGGCCCCTCCTAACATCTATTCATAATACAGTAGTCAGTCAAATCCCTTCACTACATTACCCTTCTCCTTAAAACCCTACAATGGTTCCTCTCTTCACTCAAAGTAAAACCTAAAATCTATAATAGCTTAAAAGGCCCTGAGGTACCTCACTCCTATTAGATCTCCAAACTTATTGCCTGCTAATTAATTTCCAGTATCCCTCTCCTCCAGCCAAACTGGCCCCTTGCAACTCTTCAAACACAGCAGACATGATGCCACCCTAGGGCCAGGACCCTGGCTGTTCTCACTGCCTAGAATGCGAACTTCCCAAATATCCACAGGACAAACTTCATGTGTTTGCTCAAATGTCATATTTTCAATTAGGCCTACCCAGACCTCCTACTTAATGTTGTAAGATTCCCTTCATCACACCACTTCCTATTCCCTATCTCTTTCCCACTTTTCCTGTGTTCCACAAGTCGTTGCCTTATAATATTCTACCTGTATTACACTTTATGTTAATAATGCAATTGTTATATTAACCTTATTTATGTATTACACTTATTATTTATGGCTGTTTTAATCAGCTCAGGTTGTTACAACAAAATACCACAGACTTGGTGGCTTTTACAACAGAAATTTGTTTTGCCACAGATCTGGAGTCTGGAGGAGATCAGAATGGCAGTATGATTGGGTTCTGGTAAGAGCTCTCTTTCTGACTTACAGAAAGCCAACTTCTTATGTCCTCACATGGTTGAGAGAGAGTATGAGCTCTCTGGTGTCTCTTCTTATAAGCACACCACTCCTATTAGATCAAGACCACACACTTATAATCTCATTTAACATTAACTACCTTCATAAAGGTCCTATCTCCAAATACTATAACATTGGGGGCAGGAGCCTACATAGAATTTTGGAAGGTCATAAACATTCAGTCCATAACAATATCTTCCTGGGACTCAAGTGCAATGACTAGCACTATGCAGCTGTTCAATAAATATTAGTTGAATAAACGGATAAATTAATATATTTAACAAAAATGTATTGAGTGTCACCAGAATTGTTGCATATTCTAAAAGTACTTTTCCTTCCCTAATAAACATTTAGTGTGTAGATTATCCATAAAGTCTAAATGATACTGAAATCGTAATGATACAATTACATAGGCACAAACAAAAAACAATTTCTAATTGCTGAGTAAATCTTAGTCAAATATTTCTATACAGACATTTCACATGTGCAAAAATATAAAGAATTCCCTTGCCATTGCTCTCTTTTGTTGCTGCTCTCCACCCTCACCTCTGCTGCAGAGCTGGATTATGTGATCCTACTTCTCTTTGTTCCGCTATTGCATTTAATACAGTTGATTTGGGTTATCTGTTAATGTGTCTCTATTCCACAATCGATTATGAAATTTTCCAGGGCAACGGCTATTATATTCACCTTAGTTTCCCCAGCACTTAAAGTCAGTACTACATAAATATTTAATGAATAAAAAGAAGAGAAAAAGGGAATAAGACAGTGCCTTGAATCTCACAGTACATTTTGTTTTTGCTTCTTTGAATGGTTATACTCATATTGCCAATCTAAAATTGTTTTAAAATAAAAGGTTTAGGGCCGGGCGTGGTGGCTCGCACCTATAAGCCCACCACTTTGGGGGGCCGAGGCAGGCAGATAACAAGGTCAGTAGATCAAGACCATCCTGGCTAACATGGTGAAACCCCGTCTCTACTAAAAATACAAAAAATTAGCCAGGTGTGGTGGCACACTCCTGTAGTCCCAGCTACTCAGGAAGCTGAGGCAGGAGAATCGCTTGAACCCAGGAGACGGAAGTTGCAGTGAGCCAAGATTGCGCCACTGTACTCCAGCCTGGGCGACAGAGCAAGACTCCATCTCAAAAAATAAAATAAAATAAAATAAAAATAAAAAGTTTAAAAAAAGAATTAGGTTCCTTTCCTGCCTTTTTCTTAATGTTTTCTTTAGTTTTAGGTAGTAAGAGAAATGAAAAACATAAGTAGAAATTCTTGAGTCAAAGAAACTCAACCTAAAACTAAAATAAATTAATTTATATTATTCTTCAATTTTTCTAATATTAAATATTTTATTACAAGTAGGTAATTGACTGTTTCCAAAATGTCCATAAATATGTAAATGTTTGTATTGTTTTGGCACTCTATCACCCATGGAACACCATGATACATATAAACTCTAACAAATTGGAGTTACTAACATACTCAGGGAACCTAGGTCATGATGTTTTTATCAATGACACATTTCACTGTTTCACTAAAATTTAAGCAGTTGTTATCAATATCAGCTATAAGTTTAGGTCAAACTCCCATTCATTTAATGATGGCTCTACTGTCAAAAACTTTAAGTACAGTAAGAAGAAAGACTGAAAATTAATTCAAGTCCAAGAAAGAATAAAAAAACTCAAGGGTTTCCAAAGTACTATAAAAAGCACTTGATCTATGAGTCTGAAGTTATCATGGCATTTAAATTGATCAGCTAATGTATTAACTACATCCTAGGACAGGCTGATCAATATTTTGCTTTAGATTAAAAATATAAAGATGCTACCAAAATTTTTCTATGATGAATATGATAAGTCTAGATGTCTAATATTACTTAAATTATTATAGCCAAATAAAATGCATTGTCAACTTAAGATTTTTTAAAAATAAACTGAGGGCATATCTGGAGAATGACAAACTCAACAGACTTATATTGACTTTTGGTTGAAATGCTTTCCAATTATCTTTTACCCAGAAAAAAATAACTTTCTGAGTTTTTTCCTTTTTTTCTTTTTAAATAGGCATATAAAAATTGCACAGCTCTAAGCAATAAAACTAAATCAGATGAAAACATTTTCTTACCTAAGCTTTTGTCTTTATGAGGGATCAGTAATTCTGACATGAAGAAAAGCCTGTCACAGAATTATAACTACAAAGATAAAACTTCTTATTGGTTTACTTAACAATACCATTTAGATGTCATTTAACCTCCTTTTCTTGAGAGAATAGCCAAATCTTGACCCAGGAGACAGTTATACTCTGCTAAAATTGCAGAATGACCTTTAGATCATACCCTACTGCCTTTGCTCTGGTTAAGCCACAAGCCTCTAAAAGCCATACTTAAAAATGCAATATTTCTAATGAGAATGAATCTAAATCTGTGGCGAGAAAACCATATAATTTAAGAAGATGTTTTTGAATCTGGATACTGGCTTGCCTTTGAAATTTATCTGTACTAGCTCCTTATACTTTTAAGAGTGAACCTCCTTGGCTCTACTCAGACCATTTTATTTACCTAGAACAGCATCTCTTCTCTATCCACAGGGCTTTCTCCCCTAAAATTATAGCTGTAGGATACTTTCTCCAATTAGTCACTCCCATTCTTATAGCTGAAATTCAGTGCAATCTTATAATTACCTGCTTACCTTTAACAGTTTTAATGATTATATATTTGTTTTGTCTCTGTTAAAGTGTAAATGTTGTAGGGGAAAGAATACGTTTAAATTTCTATGAACATTGTGATTACATTATAAATACTAGGTGACACACTCTCCTAAGAAGACATTGCATTTCCTTCAATCTGCACTCAATTGTAATTTATGAGCAATACTGATTCAATTAAGAAGAAAAAAAAGAACTACATGTTGGAAAACATGCCTGAAGGTGAAGGAACCCTGACATGGAGAAACCCATCAAAGATATTATTTTATCTTCTCATAGACAGAACTGCTGCTTCAAACTGATAGCTGTATCTACACAGGCAACATAGCAAAATAACAATGATAGGACAAAAATTCCTACTTATGAGGGAAATAATATGAATAAATAATTATGTAGGATTTATTGAACCAGACAGAGCCTAGATTCTTGATCAAACCTCCAATTAACTTTGCGTAAAGAGAATAATTTGTCATACATATGCAAAAAGTTACAATGGAAATTATTTCACCTAAAAAAAAAGTCCCATATCTTATTTTATCAACATAATTAGACACTGAACAAGTTGTGTGGCCCACTGACATCATACAGAACATTTAAAGACCATTTTAAGATGAGTTCATAATTCATAATTTCTTATTTTATTATGAATATAATTTTTATTTCATAAAGCTTCCTGTGAAGAAACTTATAACAATAATTTTGTTAACTTGATTGATCCTGTTTCCCTCCTACAAAGGTGTTGCTCTTTTGGCCACTAGAATGAATTCCTTAAGGGATGTTATGAACCAAAATTATGAAGTACCCTCCCTCCTGTCTGCATAGGAGTCATTAAAAAAGAAGGATATTCAATTTTGTAAATATTTACACAGAAAAATATAATTTGGGGAGACTGTGCATATACTTGCACACACAATTTATACCTTAATTTTTTTAAAATGAAAATAATCATTTTCCTATTTAACTTAGGTTTCTTAAGTAAAGGCAAAATATTTCATGAGTAAAACTCCTATATACTAGAATATGTATTCACTTGGCGGTAACTTCTATGGCAGAATTTATGTTCCTTTTATCACTTTTATCTTTCTTCCTCATCTGAATAATAGCAGAGGAAAAGAATGTCAGTTCATAACATAAAAATAAAAATGAATTATTTGAAATTCACAATCTGCTTGTTTAGAAAGTATTCTGGAAAAAGTAAAGAGAAAGGTAGCATACAAAACATTCTGCAGGGAAAAAAAACTACAAACAAGGCAATGAAGAGAAAGAAGTGAACCTGTATCATAAAAATGAAACAATCCTATATGAAAAACTTCCCATCAGCATAATATAGACTCAAAAGATAAAATATTAAGAGTAAATGTGTTTGCAAGAAAAAAAGAGCTCTGTGCAAGAATAATGTTTTGTTATATGCAGAAGGTAAAAGCAAAAAAGAAAATATTGTGAGTATAAAATACAGGCAAAATGAATAAATTAGATTTCCTTAGGCAAAAGGTGATAAAAGGAGAAAGAGAAGTATCAAGAACCAGGTGTTTATTTGTAGATAAAATAATAGGAAAATCTATCCATTCTGTTAAAAGTGTTTAAACACCACCTAAAACACAGAACAGATGCACTTGAAAGAAAAAGAAAAATCTGCATAAAAGGGGCATTTCACAATTAAGAAGATTGACTCACCTTACAAAAGATGCTCAGTCCTGGCCTTTCACCCACTGTCAGCCCAGATTCAAACTATAAGTTTCTTTAAATTTTGTTTCTTTAAAATCTAAGCAACAAAGCCATTCCAAAGTGGATTTGGAAGGTAGATGCTAGCAACATACCTAGATATTGCTAACCAATGATGTTTTTAAAAATACTCTATATATTTCATCATAGGAGCTTAAGGCACTATTGTTTAGTTAGTCTTTTGTTTTTCAATAAAAAGCAAATAGAATTTTTTTTTCAATTTTTGTATATGGGAAATCAAATAAACTAATAAAGCAGGCTGAACTGATTTAATATAAAATCCAGGCCAGAAAAGTTTTAGGTCATAAAATGTTAAAAGTCATTCAATAAATTTATGATTTTTAAAGGAGAGGGCAAGAAGGAAAAGGAAAAAGAAAAAAAAAAGTTAAGTGAAGGGAAATAATAATAGGAAAAGGATGAAAGGAGGCTTTATTGAGGTATAGCTATCGCCATGTACCATATTAAATTCTTTTGCATACGATGTTAATGCGAAGAATTGATTTTGATGTCAAATTTACTCAACCAGTTCACAGAAATCCAGTTTTGGAACTCAAGATTCTTCCTCCAAGTTCAGTGTTCTTTCTTATTATATTTCAAGTCAAAAGTTGTTTGTCAGATATCTTTAAGAACTAAGTTCAACTGAATTTCTATCAAATTACATCAGCTGTGGGAAGTTTTTTAAGATTTATCTAAAGGAAAAAGTGATAACCAAAAAATAGTCAATTCTGGCCAGGCACGGTGGCTCATGCCTATATCCCAGCACTTTGGGAGACCGAGGCGGCCTCGTGGATCACGAGGTCAGGAGATCAAGACCATCCTGGCTAACATGGTGAAACCCCCTCTCTACTAAAAATACAAAAAAATTAGCCGGGCATGGTGGCGGGCGCCTGTAGTCCCAGCTACTAGGGAGGCTGAGGCAGAAGAATGGCGAGAACCCGGGAGGCGGAGCTTGCAGTGAGCCAAGATCGTGCCACTGCACTCCAGCCTGGGCAAGACAGCGAGACTCCGTCTCAAAAAAAAAAAAAAAAAAAAGTCAATTCTGTAGTAAAGTGAACAAAGAAGTGTCCATTCAGTCAACAATCATATATTGAACACCAACACAGCACACCAACATGTATTGGACACCAGTACACTTGAGGGTCCTATGCTGAGCACTGTTGAAGAAAGAAGAGTTAAGATACTCTCCTCTCTCTTATACTCACTCACCTCAAGGAGTTGAAAAAGGATACATTTAGTAACTGTGATTCAATGAAAAATGAAAAAAAATAGTAAAAGAAACACAAAATTCTAAGACAGTTTGAGAAGAAAAAAATCTAAATGAGGTGATAAGAAAAACTTTAGGAAGAGAGTACACTTGAACTGGTGTTTCATGCATGGAGATAATGGGGTCATTTGAAGGTGCAAGAAAAATAGTCTCATTGGATTAAAACATAGAATGTATGGAGATGAGTTATGTAAGATGACCTCAGGAAAGTACACTTAAGTCAGATAGCATAGTACCTTGGTTATGATATTTTTTTCTTTCACAAATATTTCCTGATTACCTACTGTAGGACAGGCACAATAGCAAGCACTGATGATATTAGCCACAAGCACAACCACAAAGTGTCTGCTCTCATGGAGGTTAGTCTGAAGGATTAGGAATCTGGATTTTATTCAAGAGGTAATGATTATTAGTAAAGATTTTCAAGCAGTCAGGTTGAATTTGGGGAGCTGAAATGTTTACATGAGCAGAGGAGTATGAGTATAACTGCAGGAACAAGTAAAAAAAAAAATTCACCACTTTTTCTTGCACCCTATGTTTGATTTTTCTAACAGGTATGCACACTGAGAAATACAGTCTTTCACAAAGGAATATCATTTCTAAATATACATTGGAAAGCTCAGAGTTAGGATAAGACAATACACTGAATGAAATATTTTGCTAAATAGGAGAATCACATTGTTTACTTAGAACATATAGCTCACATGCTGGAGTGAATTTACAATATGTTTATCTAGAAAGGAAAGTATCTATAGATCATAATGTCATTGTTCCATTTAATAACAGTAGTACTAATGGGAATTTATACTCGGTTTAGAAGGAAAAATCTAAATGAAGTAGATTATTTAACTTGATTCTAACCCTGATTAATAATTAATTGTTAAATAGCTTAAACTTCAAGAAGGAGTAAGATGGCCGGGCGCGGTGGCTCACGCCTGTAATCCCAGCACTTTGGGAGGCCGAGGCGGGTGGATCATGAGGTCAGGAGATCGAGACCATCCTGGCTAACAAGGTGAAACCCCGTCTCTACTAAAAATACAAAAAATTAGCCGGGCGCGGTGGCGGGCGCCTGTAGTCCCAGCTACTCGGGAGGCTGAGGCAGGAGAATGGCGTGAACCCGGGAAGCGGAGCTTGCAGGGAGCCGAGATTGCGCCACTGCAGTCCGCAGTCCGGCCTGGGCGACAGAGCGAGACTCCGTCTCAAAAAAAAAAAAAAAAAAAAAAGAAGGAGTAAGATAATTATCACCACCTGCTTCTTCCAGTAATTGAGATTTAAACAGAAGTGAAATTTAACAAGTTATACTCTACAGTGCAGGACATTCTGAACATTTAATGTCTCTTTGGCATTATCTTCTGATTTCCACTAAGACAACCACTGATCCACGAGATGATATGATGGATATTATTACTGAGAGTTACAACTACCACTGGCTCTTATCTGAGCACTATCTCTCCGTCTGACACAATGTTCCCAAAGTTTCCGAGAAGACTTTCTATTTCAGAGTTCATATTGTTCTAAGTCCTGGGAGGGGGAGGTCAAGTATTGTGTATGCGCTATAAAACAGACATAAACTACTCAGCTTTGGTTCGTGAAACAAATGGCATGTGGTTAATTTCTTTTAATCCTTTAAACAATATATTTATGTATTTTCTAGTATAAGACCACATACAGTATGCCTGAAGTGAAGGTTGATTGATTTTGAAGATGGTGAGTGTGTAGAAAAAGGTAATAAAATATTCAGCATTAAACTATTTCACTACATTTGTTTTATAAAGAAAAATACAGATGTGCATATGTTAAAACCGGGCAAAAACACTCTTTGAGTACTCCACAACATCTGATACTTAAATATGTTAAAATATGTATTTATATTTTCATATTATTCCCCCCTTGAGTTGGCTGCTGTTTTTCAGCATCAGAAGAAGAGATCCTCAAAGCCTTGTTAAAAGAAAAAAAAAGTGAAGAGTGGTATTTAATCATTCTCCAAAACTCTTGGCTGTCTTTATCAAGCTATCAACGATTTTCCCAGGGGAAATTATACATCATAATAAGAAACCTCAAGTTCATTTTCTCAACAACAAAAGTGATAAAAGTTTATTCCACAGACACTGTGATGTAGCATGAGAGCACAGGGTCTGGGGTCAGAGGGGCTAGACAAAGTACCATTTCCACTTTATTGCTTCACTTACTAAGCCTCACTTTTTCCCATGCATAGTCTCACTTTCCTCACTGTCAAAATGTGATGATGTTAGAAGGTACATCCACATCACCTCACTATTATGAAATTTTAAAAAGTCATGTATGAAAAAAATTATACAAAGGCTTATTACTATTATCCTTTAAAATCCCTTGTTTCTCTTTCTCTCTATTCTCAGTTTCAATGTTGACTATATAAAACAATCAGGACAAAGAGAAAGAAAGTAAAACTGACATAAATATTGAATCTAATTTTAAATGGTGTATTTTAAATAACATATTAATACAAAAATTCACCCAATTAATAATATAATAAACATTTAATACAATTGAGAAAGGAAGATATGTTTAGCTATATTGTGATTTTGGAAGGACTTGCTGGTATTGGTCAAACAGAAAAAGCATCCAACAAAATAAAAATAAAATAAGTAATTTAAAAAATTCTCACACTGACAAAAACTGTAAGACATGGCATTCAAATTGTCAACAAAAGAAAAAGATTTCTTAGAGACTACATAATCAGTAATAGACAACCCATTCTTTTCCAGCTTGTCACCTTGCCAGTAAAGGATTATAGAAAACCTGTCCTTAGCATGAAAACATGATGTGGTAACTATTAAGTATGTGGAAAATCCCATTAGGCTATTAAACTACAATAATCGTATTTTTTAGTGGAGAAAGAGAGCTAGATATCATTTATTATATGTGGTGTATTCCCTGAATTCTGGATCTGTTTGCTTCCCATGCTTCTTGACTTTAACACTGTAGTGATACATATATATATATATATAATATTTAAAATATATTTATATATATTTCATATCACAGTGAAATATATATATACCATTATATATATATATCACAATGAATAGTATATATACCATTATATCCATATATTCATATATCTTTATATATCATTATATAGTGATATATATTCTTTAAATTATATATCATATATACATACACACACATATAATTATAAAACAGTATTTATTGTAAAATAAAATAAATATTAACTATTTAAGTATTTAAATACTTTAGAGTAAGTATTAAGACAAATTCCACAGACCCGCAAAATGTACTTTCAGCCTATTCCACATTGATCAGTGTATCAGTGTATCAGATGAGGCACTGCAACTTCCAGTCAGCAAAAGAGTAATGAATGGCAACTGACAGGCATTAATCATTTTGATGGACTACAAAGGGATGACAGAGACAAGATGTCATTATACTTTGGAATTTATGCAAGCATACTTATTTTTTTAAAAAATTCTTACTGAGTTCTTGAACCATAGTAAGTTCCACGTAATATCTTAATTTATAAAGATAATATACATCCACATGTACTTGACTGTGATGTGTCTCATTTCTCTAGAAAAATACCTCTATGGTACTTTAAAAATTATCCATATACTTAATCTTTCCATACCTTTAATCATGAAATATGACATCACACTTTCATGAATATTTAAATTTCTCCCTCCTACTCCCAATTCTAATTTAGACAAATCTCTATAGCACCATGAGAAATATAAGTAAGTAATTACAATTCCATTTGTGATAACATCTGAGTTATCTCTAATAAGTGGCAGGTATAATTTATTTCAGCTACTAGATGTTTTCATGAAAACATATTTGATCAGTTTTTAAGTCAATTATGTTTTTCATGGCTATACATTCTAATTTAGAGAATTAGACATATCAAGATATTCTGGCCTTATGACACAGTGAGAGAAATTATGAGTTACACTGTAGATGACCTCCTTTAATAATATTTTTAAAGAAAAGCTACCTTACAAAATCCCAAGACTATCAGTCAAAATAAATCGAGCTCATGTAAGAAGCAGATTTTAGATATATTTTCCCAAACAGTATTTTATTTGTTAATCAAAGTTTTTTAGGGATTCTCAACTGGGGGTAGTTTTACCCCCAGAGTACATTTGGCAATGTCTGGTGATATGGTTTTGTTCAGAGTCCCCACCAAGTCTCATACAGAATTGTAATACCCAGTGTTGGAGGTGGGCCCCCACCTAAACCCCGTGGGAGGTGACTGGATCATGGAGGTCCAATGTTTTAACACCATCCCCTAGTGCTGTTCTTGTGATAGTGAGTTAGCATGAGATCTAGTTTTTTAAAATTGTGTAGCAACTCTCCAATCTCTCTCTTCCTGCTGCTCTAGCCATGTGAAGTGTTTGCTCCCCCTTCGCCTTCTGCCATGGTTAAAACTTTCCTGAGGCCTTCCTAGAAGTAGAAGCTACTATGCTCCCTGAACAGCCTGCTGAATCATGAGCCAATTAAACCTCTTTTCTTTATAAATTACCCAGCCTCTAGCATTTCTTTATAGCAATGTGAAAATGGATGAATACATCTAGAGACACTTTCAGTTGTCACAACTTGGGTGAGGAGGCAGTGTGCTACCGGGGTCTGGTAGGTAGACTTTATAGACGCTGTTAAACTCCACAGATGCTAAACATGCTACATACACAGGAGAGCACTCACAACAAAGAATTATCCAGCCCCAAATGTCAATAGAGCCAAAGGTGAGAAATCTGCTTTAAGTTAATATCACAATAAAGTTCCAGTAGTAACAATATTAACCCAAGATGATGTTCAGACAAGCAAGCAATAGAATTTAGAAAAATAACAATAGCCCAAATGTAGGGAGCATTTACGATGAACCAGGTGCTGTTGTATTTATTAACTTATTCAATCTTCATCACAGTACTATGAGTTGAACACAACTATTATTACTCTTGTTCTACAGATGAGGAAAATGAGGCTCTAATTTAATTGATTATCTCACTCATTGTTACCCAGCTTCCAAGAGGCTGAGCCAGGATTTAAACCATAGCACATTAACTCCAGACCATATACTCTTAACTACATCACTATATTATATTCATGTTAATCAAAGAAGCGTGTTTCTGATAAAAGGTTTTAAAAAGCATCATACTTAAGATCTACAGAAACCCCTAATGATCAGTCTCTTTTGGAAAATTTCACTCTTAAAGATCAACGAGTGAACAAGCACACGGCAGATGTCACTAAATCATTATTTATTCATTTATTGAGATTTTCATTCCAGCTTTAGCAAATGTATTCAAAATTTCTAGCAAAATGAATAATGCAACTAAGTGAAACATCACACTAACAAGAAAATAAGAATAGAAAGCACTTAGTTTTGGTATAATATTACAAGTGTAAAAGCAAGTTAGGGTAAGAGAAGGGCTCATCAAATCATCAGAGGTCTCACATTTTCAGCACAGAAAAGATATGTGCTACTAAAAATTCACTCAGGGAAAATAAAAACTTACTCACCAGAAAGTACTGTATATTACGTTTTCTATGACAGACATAAAAAAAAAAACCCACAGACTAAGTGGCCTAAACAACAGAAATATATTTTGTCACAGTTTTGGAAGCTAGAAGGTCAAGATCCAGGTGTCAGCAGGTTTGGTTTCTTCTCAGGCCTCTCTCATTGGCTTGCAGAAGGCCACCTTCTTCCTGTATCCTCAGATGGCTTTTAATCTTCCTTTTCTTCTTTCTTTTCTCCACAGTGTCTTTTCCTCTTATAAGAACACCAGTCGCATTGAATTAGGGCCCCACCCTGTTGAGCTCATAGTAAAGCAGTCACATCTTTAAAGTCTTATATCCAAATATGGTTACATTCTAAGCTACTATGCTTTGGGGCTTCATGAAATGAATTTTGGAGAATCACAGTTTAGACCACAGCATATAGCAAGGATAATTCTGAACAAGGCATGGGGCTTAAAGTGCCCAGAACTTTTTCCTGGAGGACTAAAAGAGTGGTTTGTTAGGTATTAGACAAAAGATCTGTAAGATAGCTACATGATAAATAGCACTGTGTCTTTGCAACATGGCACCACAAGTGGTGAACCCTAAAGGAAAACGGCCCACCAGACCCAACTTGAAATGTGTTTGTATCTACAAATGGTTATCAGGGTCCTTTTTTCAATTTTAATTTTTTAAAGTCTTGCTCTGTCATCTAGACTGTACTCGGTGGCATGATCAGGGCTCCCTGAAACCTCAAACTCTTTGGCTACAGCAATCCTCCTGCTTCAGCCTCCCAAGTAGCTAGGACTACAGGCATGTATGACCATGCCCATCTTCTTCTTTTTTTATTTTTATTTTTTTATTTTTGGTAGAGATGGGGTCTCACTATTTTGCCCAGGCTGGTCTCCAACTCCTGGTCTCAAGTGATCCTCCTGCCTCATCCTCCCAAAACACTGGAATTACAGGCATGAGCCACGACATCCAGCTCAGGGTCTTATTCATAATCCTGCAATGTTCTCTCCACTAGATCGGAAAAAAAATGAACAAGCAAAAAAAAACTGTATTGAACAGGAAAAAAAAGACTTACTAGACAGAGAAAGAAAAAGACTTTAACGGCAATAATGCCATGACAGTAAAAATGTGGTGAATCCTTTTCTTTGTGAGTGAGAAGAAGAGTAAGTACAATCTGGATTTCCTCTGCTTTAAGGTTTCTGGTTTGTTGGTTTGTTATTGCTTCGTTTGGTGAGCGGAGGAAGGGTTTGTTTGTTTTTTCTTAAACTCACAGGAATATCAGAACTGCTACATTGAACTAAGGCAGTATTTTTCTCTAGAATTTAGGGGCTGCTTCTCCCTGCCTAGGAAAAAGCAGCATTATAACTACAGGACATGCTTTTCTCCCATCTACTCCTGAAGCAAAAACACTTGCGTCCAGAGCTGTCAGCCTCCTCAGCAGGTTAGCAGAAACAAAGAGAAAAGAAAGAAATGGAAAGATGACTGAAGCAAGGGTCACAAAGGAGTATCTTCTTTGAAATCACAGCTAACTGGAAACAAGGTAAGACCTGGGATACAGGCAATAAAGAGCATTTCGTGTCAGTAAATCATGAATACAATTATTGATCTGTCTCATTTGAGCATACATTTCCATGTTACTCTTATTCTTTGTCTCTTATATGACAGCTATTATGTACCTCTCCTATATCTTCCAACCACAGTAACCACAATTCACATGACTTGACTGAAATAAAGTCCTGTCTTCCAATGTCTACCCAATTATTCATCCTTAAGCAGTTCATTCATTGTGTAATTTCATCTTCCTTTTCTAAAAGTTGCTTCAATTAAAAAGTGTAGCACCTCTTATTCTGTTACTTCCATCTATAAATTTGCCTCACCTTACTGATCCATGATTCATCCTTATCACATATTATTCCAGCACATGCTGAGTTCAGTGATACCTGTCTTCTCCTTACTCCATGGACATGTCACCATGCAGCTCAGAAGCCCTCTGTTTTTCCCTGGTACTGACCAATAACACACCTCATCCTCCTAGGCCCAGCTAAAATCTAATCCATTACGATGCTATGGCTTCCAAATGGGTAACACCAAGGCTGGACCTGACTATCTACCCTCTAGATATCTCATCCTGTGTATCTCAATTACCTAGGATTAAATGCAAATAACATTTAATTCACTATCTCTTCTAAAAAAATAAAAATTAAAAAAAGAAAAACCTTGTTGGCCCAGGGTTCCCCTTAAGTGTTCAATTAGCTAAACAGACATAAGAATTATCCTTCATTCTCCTTCCCCTTCATTCTGTCTGCAATAAATCATTAAATCCTACTGAATTGACTAAATACCTCTAACATCTAGTTTCTCTCCTCACTTCCCTTTTCCTTTATATTCATCATCTCCCTCCCAGCCCTCTGTAATCATGTCCTAGCTCCCTTCTGTTTCACTCAGTACTTTTTCAATGCACCAGACTACAGCTCTATAGCAAGATGACCAGGCCTATAATGACCTAGCTCCTTTAGTAGTGGTCAGCCTCTACCATAGCTACATCTCCAAGCTAACATCATCTTGCTACATGACTGACACTGAATGATCCAAGCTTTCACACAGGGAGTGCCTCCATCTGAAATGCTCTTTCTTCCCTTATCCTTCAGATAATTGACGAGGTATCTTTTTAATCAAGGTTTCTACTCTTGAGCTTTATCTTTCCATAAAATTAATATCTGTTAATTTCACACATTTCATTAGTTCTTACTTCTATGGCTTGGGCTTCATGCCTTTGATTACTAGCCTCTCTCCCATTCACTTCACGTGTTTATTAATATTCATCATCTTCTTTTCTCAAAATGCAATTCAAACTTGATCCCCTACAAAGCCTTCTATATTTACTAAGCCCAAATCTTATATTTTTTTATTTTTTATTTTTTATTTTTTTGAGACAGAGTCTAACTCTGTCACCCAGGCTGGAGTGCAGTGGTGCCATCTCTGCTCACTGCAACCTCTGCCTTCTGGGTTCAAGTGATATTCTGCCTCAGCCTTGTGAGTAGCTGGGACTACAGGCACATGCCACCACCACCACACCCAGCTAATTTTTGAATTTTTTGTAGAGACTGGGTTTTGCCCCCGTCTACCAACCTGGGCCTCTTAATGTGCTGGGGTTATAGGCATAAGCCACTGCACCTGGCCAAGCCTAGCTCTTACTCAGCTATTTCCTTTTATATTTGTGTAGGTCACATGTTTGTTATGATGCTTGTCACATGTATGTTTTATGTCTCAGCTGATTTTTTGAAAATAGTACTAGACCTTGTGTCTCTTCCTATGCAAGTCAGACATTCAATGAATATTTTGACTTAATTATACATTTTGTATTTAATGTGACCTATTCTCTACTGATTATACTGTAAACTTGTTTTTAATTCACTTTGATGAATATTTATTTTTTCTCTAATGCCTATATGTATAAAAATAAGTGATTAGCAAATAACTGTTAGATTTTTAAATAGAGACCTTATTTCTATTTGCAATACATGTTTTTATGTATACATGTGTGTATATATATATATATATATATATATATATATATATATATATAAAAGTCCTTATAGTAGTGTTGACAGAAGAGATTTTGAAAATGTTGATATTTCAGAGTAACCCAGTTATGTCAAAGGACAAACACTGTATGCATCCCTAACTTTTTTTTACTCTTTTGCTTTATTTACACTGTTTCTCCTGTATACATTTTGCTTTCCGATATCAACTACTAATATGGACCAGCACAGTGACTTACAAGTTCTGTGTCCAGCATTTCAGTTATATCTCTCCCACTCTACCAAGTGCTCACCCATTACAGTTAATCCATACTGGTTTTCTTTCACTTTCTTCAAAGACTACTGCTGTCATCATCACAGGGCCTTTGCATATGATGTTCTCATTGCTTTTACTTGGTTAGTTCAAACAGTTCAAATTTCAGCTCAAGTGAAACTTCCTCAAAAGGCTTCTAATCTCCCATATTAGGGAAATACCTTATTCTTCAACATAGTCATATGCCACCCTTCACTATTTCTCCATAGCACTTACAATTGTTTGCAATTATAAAGCTGATCAATGCCTTCCCGCCAGACTAAGATTAACAAAGTATTCCCCGGGGCAAACAGTATGTCTCTGGAACATAGTAGAAAAAAAATTATTTAAATTAATAAAGTCTCTTTATCTATGCTGCCATGGCACAAGTATTTTTAAGTTTCCTTTCATTCATTTATTCAATAAATATTAATGAAAACCTAATATATATATATATATATATATATATATGCATAATGATAAGGACTAGGGTAAAGAAGTGAAAAGAATAACATAGTATCTGCAGCCATAAGACTGACATTTTATTTGAGGGGAGACAGAAAAATAATGAACAAATAAGAAAGAAAATTTAGATAGTGCTGTGCACTTTAAAAAAGATTATGATATTGTCTGGAAGGCTGCTTTAGACTGGGTGATCAGGAAATTCCTCTGAAGAGGTGATATTTAAGCTGCGACCAACAAATAAAACCAAATTATAATGTCATAACATATTACCTTGTAGTAAAAGTCTGCTAGTTTTTTTTCCCCCACTGACTATAAGGTATTTCTTTGAAAGTAGGGAGCAAATCCTCAGTACAGTATTTAAAATTATGAGCAGCACATAATGAGGTACTTAGCACATATTTCTAAGGTGACTGGGGAAAAACACAAAACTATAATTACTGGGGTAATGTCATCGTTTCCGTTTTATGCTCAAGGTAACAGACTCAGATAAGTTAAGTGAAAATGGATATTCAGGGGTCCTCCTCTAGTGTTCTTTCCAGCCATCAAAATCTTGATGTTGCTCTTTATACTAAGTATATAATCTCTATGACTTGATAAAGACATAGATACTGTATAAAAAGAACATCACTTGTGATTTTTATAAATCAATTATAAAACATTCCAGTTATAAATATTAGGCTAGATTTCATTCAATAAATATACTAAACACCTAAATTAATTTTAGTTAATTTACTAAGTATCTAAATAAATTTACTAAGCACCAAGTTTACTAAAAATCATATCTCGGTTCAATCTTATTTTTGGTTGGTGTAACAGATTGCACAGAAACAAAGAAGAAAGAGCAGTAAAATCTATACTTGTAAATGATATCACTAGAGCAGTAAAATCTATACTTGTATATGAGATCACTATAAACATTGTCTTCAACATCATGGTAATTTTGAAAGACATTAGAGATTCCCATATTTGAAGAAAGTAAATACAAATTATACTTCATATCATTACAGAAAATGTCTATGGTATCTATATAAATTCTTTTGTCTGTTTAAACATGTATATTCTTAACAGAATGCCCTATGCTGAAGGAACTCTGAACTTCTCACATGTCAATAGGTTTCAAAGCCAGCTAGATAATTTATGTAAATTAATTGATGACACACCTCTTTTCTTGTGTGTGAATTTAACAGTGTGTTTACGTTGGTTTTGATTGATTCTGTCTTAATATCTGTCCAGAAAAAAACCTCACAGAACATCTTCTAATATAAAAGCGTGAAATTTAGAAGGAATAAAAAATTGCATATTTCTACACTAATCTCAAAACTCTCAAGAGATTTTCTCTCTCTAAAAAATAAAGGCCAGATTTCTCAGAATCAAAGATTGGAAGTAATAACACAGTTATTGTGGAATACAAGCAAAATAATATAGTCTAAAAACTTCAATTGAGGTCTTCATTTAAGATAGCTTGAGTAATTTCTATAACAAAACACATTTAGACATAAAAGAAGCTACATTTCCTATGAGCCTTCAAGGCACTGAAATCTATAAAACAAAGATTTTTTACCAAAGAACAATATAATCCCTGAATTTCTTATCCTTATTCATCTGAAATGTGTGGTTTAGCTAATAATTGTTTCCTTTTTTTAATGAACAAACCAAACCAATATAATCCCATGCCTTAGCTGCAGTACTAAACTTTGTATATGTGTTTGCTATGTTTTCCTACTGAAGTTTCATAGCAACACTTTGTACAAAAACAGATGTTCTCTTTAAAAGTACCACATTGTATGGAGGATTCGAGCATCTAAGGAATAATAATGAATAGGTCTGAGCCATAAATCAGAAAAATAATATATTAATATTTTGATGAAAAATAAAAGTATTTTTACCTTTGCCAACTTTTTTCTGTATCTTGCTGATGAAATCATTTTCCCAGTTCAATAATTATTTTAAAAGTAAAATATTTTCAACTAACCATTCTGATATAGAAAAGGCAAAAAAAATCTGCTTCCCAAATAAGCAATATCATTAAAGTAACTTTAAAATAATAGTGGATATTGTCTAATCCCTATGTGTAAGGACAACACTCAAAACATTTTGTAGGTATTACCTATTCATTCTCATAACAAGTCCAAGAAGTATTAGCACTATTTGCTTACTTTACATATGAGGACAGTGAAACCCAAAGGTTAAAAACCTATCCATAATCATACAGCTGATGTGTTGAGGGGAAAAAATTGAACCAAGACAATATGATTTCAAAGTCTTTACCATTATCAATTAATTTATACTACGTCCCAATGAAAACATTTCATAATCACGATGTATTCTACTCAGTGCACCAAAACTTCAATGCCTAAGATACATCAGAAAGATGACTTAGATTTGAACACATTTGGTTTGGGCTTTAAAGAACTCACAATGACCTTCTTGATTTGAGCATTTTCACATTTTACTTATGCAATCCTGGACTTTTAGTTCACCCTATCCTCCAAAATACACATGTGCATGTGTGTGTGTATCTTTCTTCTGCATTGGACAATAACTCACTGGAGACAGGAACCATGTCTCACGTGACACTGTGCATTCAACACTTATCAAGTGTCTGACAGATATGTAGTAGGCATTGAATAATTATTTAATAAAAACTACATGAAATGAGTTAACAGTAAATATGTCATTCAGTAAAGTGAACTTAAAAAACACAGTTTGTCAACATAAGAGGCCAGAGTAAGCTACAGATAACAGTGTAAAATTATACCTGAATAATTATAGACACTTTTTTCTTTTGTTTTTAGTTGACACATAATAATTGTACATATATATGGAGCATACAATATCCCTATACATGTATACAATGTGTAATGACCAAATTAGGGTAATTAGCATATCCATCACCTCAAATATTTCTCATTTCTTTTTGTAGGAGGCATTTAAAATCCTCTCTTCTAGTATTTTTAACATATACAATAAATTATTGTTAGGTATATTCACCCTACAGTGCTACAGAACACTAGAACTTTTTCCTCCCATCTAGTTGTAATTCTGCATCCATTAGGTAACTTCTCCCTCTCCTCTCCTCCCTGCTACCCATCCCAGCTTCTAACAACTGTAATTCTACTCTCTATTTCTATAAACTCATTTTTGTTTTTTTAGCTTCCACTTGAGTGAGAACATGCAGTACTTATCTTTTTGTGCCTGATTCATTTAATTTAACATAAGGTCTTCCAGGTTCACTCATGTAGCTGCAGACGACCTGATTTCCTTCTTTTAATGGCTGAATAATATTCCATTGTGTATACATACCACATTTTTCTTGATCCATTTATCTGTTGAGGAGTACTTACGTTGATTCTATATCTTGACTATTGTGAATAGTGCTGCAATAAGCATGGAGGTAAAGATAACTCTTTGATCTACTGATTTATTTTCATTTGGATAAATATCCATTAGTGGGATTACTGGATCATATGGTAGTTCTATTTTTAGTTTTTTTGAGGAACTTCCATACTGTTTTCCATAATGGCTGTACTAATTGATGTTCCCACCAATGGAGTATAAAACTTCATTTTTCTCTGCATCCTCAGCAGCCTTTGTTATTATTTGTCTTTTTGAGAATAGCTATTCTAACTGAGGTTAGGTGATACCTCATTGTGGTTTTGATTTGCATTTCCTTGATGATGAGTGATGCTGAACATTTATTCATATGCCTATTGGCCATCTGTATGTCTTCTATTGAGAAATGTCTACTCAGATTTTTTTGTCCATTTTTAATAGAATCATTTGTTTGGGAAATATTGAGTTGTTTGAGTTCCTTATATATTCTGGATATTAATCCCTTCTTGGACTAATAATTTGCAAATATTTTCTCCTATTCTGCAGGTTGTGTCTTGACTCGGTTTTTTCCTTTGCTGTACAGAAGGTTTTTAGCTTATAATGTCCCTTTTGCTGATTTTTGTTTTGATGCCTATGCTTTCATAGTCCTACCCATAAAATCTTTGCCTGGACTCATGTCTTGAAGCATTACTCCTATGTTTTCTTCTAGTGATTTTATATTTTCAGGCCTTACATTTAAATATTTAATACATTTTGAGTTGATATTTGTATTTGACAAGTGGCAGGAGTCTACTTACGTTGTCTTGCATGCATATATCCAGTTTTCCTAGCTTTTATTGAAAAGGGTACCCATTCCCCAGCGCACATTCTTGGCACCTTTCTTGTAATTCAGTTGGCTATAAATGCATGAATTTATATCTGAGTTTTCTATTCTGTTCTATTGGTCTATGTGTCTGTTTTTATACCAATATCATGCTGCTTGGTTACTTATCCCTTTGTCATATATTTTGAATTCAGGTAATGTGATATCTCTGACTTTGTTATTTTTGCTTGGCATTGGCCATTCAAAGTGTTTTGTGGTTCAATTCAAATGTTAATATTTTTTCTAATTCTGTGAAAAATGTCATTGAAATTTTAATAGGGATTGCACTGAACCTGAGATTGCTTTGGGTAGTATGGTCATTGTAACAATATTAATTCTTTCAATCCATGAGCGTGGGTTGTCTTACTATTTTTTCTTTCTTTTCTTATTATCAGGCTGTAGTGAGGTGGCACAAATATGGCTCACTGCAGTATCAACCTCCCGGGTTCAAGCAATCCTGCCACCTCAGTGGCTGAGACTACAGGTGCATGACACCAGGCCTGACTAATTTTAAAAAAAATTTGTAGAGTTGTCCCTTGCTATGTTGTGGGTCTTGAACTCCCAGGCTCAAGCAGTCTTCCTGCATCAGCTTCCCAAAGTGCTGAGGTTACAGGCATGAGCCACTGTGCCTAGTCATCTTACAATATTTTTATGTCCTCTTTCACCAGTGTTTTATACTTTTAATTGTAGAGATCTTTCACCTCCTTGGTAAAATGTAATCTTAGGTATGTAATTTTTTGCTGTGGCTTTTATAAAAAAGATTACTTTCTTGACTTCTTTTCCAGCTAATTCATTGTTGATATATATGAATGATAATGATTTTTATATGTTGATTTTGTATCCTACAACTTTACTGAATTCATTTATCAGTTCCAAGAGTTTCTTGGTTGAGTCTTTATGTTTTTCTGTATCTAATATCATGTCATGTGCAAAAAGGTACAATTTGACTTCCTCTTTCCCAGTTTGGATACCTTTATTTCTTTCTGTTGCCTAAGTGCTCTGGCTAGGACTTCCAGTGCTATGTTGAGTAAGAATGGTGAAAGGAGGCATCCTTGTCTAGTTCCAGTGTTTAGAGGGAATGCTTTCAACTTTTGCCTGTTCAGTATGGGAAACCCATGTTAGCTTTGGGTTTGTTATATATAGCCTTTATTATAAACACACCATTTAATTTTTGAAATGCTATAACAATTGTACTACCATGGGCAATAAGAAAGTAAGTCTTATAGGAGAACCCAGCCAAGGCAATATATTTAAGAAGTGGCAGAACCACCACACACACTCATGTTTTCTGACTCTTAAGTTGGGTGATTTTCTATTGCATACACTCCACAAGAAAAACAGGTTATACCTTAATTCAAAACCATTATAATGAAGATTGCATTAAAAAAATAAACATATGTCACATAAAATCACCTTTAATTCCTTTTAAAATAACTTTCCTACCATACTTTTTTAAACCATAAAAGGTTAAGAAAATGGTTGTTTCTGGTTTCAGAATACACAGTAATCATTGTTTATTAGGCACTTTTATTTTTGTTTTCTAGAGGAAGGATTTTCAGATTTTACTGCATATTAGGATCACTTGGGGAGATTTTTTTTAAATACAGATATCCAATGTACATACAATAAATTTTTAATCAGAATTCCTTGGGTGGAACAAAGATATCGATATCTCTTTAAAATTCCACAAGTGTTTCCAATGGGCAGCCAACCTTGTAGACCATCCTCAGGTTTCCTACACTCTTACAGGATTTTGTTCCTTCCCATTGGATTAGAGGGCAGATATTTGTTAGGTTGTAGAGGTCAAAGTAACAATGCATGATGGTGTAAAGTAAAGTAAAGTAAAGAAAAAATATTTTAGTTAAAAAATAACGTGTAAAAAAGGTGTGCATACATAAACATGTACACACAGGTACACACATATTCACACTCATATAAACATACAGGTCAATAAGAATATAGCTTAAAATGGCATATTTTCTTACCATTACTAGTGTCTATCATAGGACTCAATGATAATTTAAGGCTGATTTACAGTTTAGAAATGGAGTCAGATACAGAAACCGCTTGTGGTGAAACACTTATCCTCTCAGAAGCTTTTGTTTTGTCATCATTCTATAAATTTTGCATAAGTTAAGCAGCATTTACTGTGATAGTATCTGCAATGCAGAATTTGTGGTTTACGTTCTAGGCAATTAGAATATATCAGGTATATCATGGGATCAATGTTGCCATTTTCAGAACAGATACATTTAAGTGAAGCAAATATAATTTGAAATACTCTCACTTTATGATTTAAGAAGTCCTCTAGGGAAATTGCTGTTGCTATAACAGTATTTCTTAACTCGGACACTAATCGCTGGCAAACTGTATCAATAAATGAAATAAAAATTTAATTTGTGTTAATAAATGATTATTTAGAATAGCTACATTTATATATACTAAGGGGAGAAATAACCAATCAGCTCTTATTAGAAACAAGTTAAAAATACTAAAGCAATGAAATCATCAGAAAAGCAGTACATAATAGAAAGCCAGGTAACTCTTTCTAAAAGATATAAGTCTATCATTTTTGTTACCTACAATATTAGACATGGAAATATCTTCATCTCAAAGATTATTTATTCTTTATTCCTCTCTCTCCTATTAATGAGTGTTCAATCCATATTCATAATATAACAATGCTACAACCCCAAAATTCATATTTATTCTAGATTTTCCTAAAGTATACCTTAGAAAAATGGTTTTGTTATATTTAGTTATGATGTATTATTATTCCAAATGTATTCAATAAATAATTCAACAAATATTAATCAGAGGTCTACTATGTTCCAAACATTGGTCTAGGCATCAATAAATAACAAAGTGATGAAAATATTTCTGCCTTTGCTAATCTAACATACTGTTTAAGTGTATTTAAAAATTAAATCATAGTTCAAACTACTTTAAAATAATTTTCCACTTAAAAAATGACTAATTAATCATACATTATTTATTGTACATAGCATGCTAGACATTTGCTATATACTCCCATTTATATTCTGTGATGGAGAAACAACTTGCAGTGACATTAACGAGTGTGGAGGAAATATAACTTACTTCCGGGGTTAATTTAAAGTTCTATATGATACTAAATTTCAACGTCCATTTGATTTCTAATAAATACTTATACCACATAAAAATAATTAAGCTACAGGTTATTCGCATTCATTTATATGGCAAATAATATTTTAATGTAAAATGCTTACTAATAAAAGCATCACACAAACATACAAACGCACATACCATAAGAGACGAGATGAGCAATAAGAAATCCAAGTGTGTCTATGTGTGTGTGTATATATACTTCACATTTACTTTATCCAATCATTCATTGATAAACACTTAGTTGACTCCATATCTTTACTATTGTGAATAGTGCTGTGATAAATATACAAGTGAATATACCCAGTAGTGGGTTTCTTGATCAAATGGTAGTTCTATTTTTAGTTCTCTGAGACAGCATCATATTTTTTTCCATAGACATTGTACTAATTTACATTCCCACTAAACGTGTATAAGTATTCCATTTCCTCCTTATCTTTGCTAACTTCTGTTATTTTTTGACTTTTTAATAATAGCCATTTTGACTGGTGTAAGATGATACCTCACGACGGTTTTAACTTGCAGTTATCTGTGATTAGCGGTGTTGAGCATTTTTTCAATGGACTACTATTCAGCCATAAAAAGACTGAAATCATATCTTTTGTATCAACACAGATGAACTAGAAGCCATTATCTTAAGTGAAATAACTCAGAAACAGAAAGCCAAATACCACATTTTCTCACTTATAAGTCGGAACTAAACAATGTGTACATTAATAAATGGACACAGAGTGTGGATAATGGACAGTGGAAAAGCTTGAAAGGATGGGAGTGTGACAGGGTAGTGAAGGATGAGAAATTATTTAATGAGTACGACGTACACTATTCAAGTGATGGTTATACTAAAAGCTCAGACTTTACCATTATGCAATATATCCATGTAACAAAATTGCTCTTGTATGCCTTAAATTTATACAAATAATAATAAATAGAAAGCCAAGTGAAACCAAAACTGCACCTACTGACTCTAATTTTGTTCAAAACATTTTATTTACATGATATTTTCCAATATGTCATATAAATGGAAAAATGTAGTTTGTTACCCTGTGTGTGTATATCAATAGTTCATTTAGTTTTTAGGGCTGAGTGTCCATTTTAAGGTTATACCACCATTTGTTTATGCATTCACTGGTTGAATGCATGTTAATTGCTTCCAATTTTTGGTGATTATAAATAAAGCTGCTATAATATTTACGTATAAGATTTTGTGTGAACCTAAGTTTTCATTTCTCTTGAGTATATACCTTGTAGTGTGATGGCTGAGTCATAAAGTAAGTTTAACTTTATAAGAAACTACCAAACCGTTTCCCAAAGTGTCATGACAGCCATTTGCATTCTCTCCAGCAATGTCTGAGGGCTCCAGTCACTCCAGGTTCTCCCCAGCACTCAGGGTTTTTTTTGTTTGTTTGTTTGCTTGTTTTTTTGAGATGGAGTCCTGCTCTGTCGCCAGAGCTGGAGTGCAATGGCACAATCTCAGCTCACTGCAACCTCCACCCCCCGGGTTCAAGAGATTCTCTTGCCTCAGCCTCCCGAGTAGCTGGGATTACAGGCACCTGCCACCATGCCTGGCTAATTTTTTGTATTTTTAGTAGAGATGGGGTTTCACTATATTGGCCAGGCTGGTCTCCAACTCCTGACCTCATGATCCAACCGCCTCAGCATCCCAAAGTGCTGGGATTACAGGCGTAAGCCACCACGCTCGGCCCCTTTCAGTTTTTATAAAGTTATAATAATAGGTGTGTAGTGGTATCTCATTTTGTTTTAAATTTCCATTTCCTAACAGATAATGAGGTTGAGCATATTTTCATGTGCTTATTTGCCATTCATATGTCTTTTTTTGGTGAAGTACCTGTTAATTTTTTATTCATTTGTTTTAATTAGATAGTTTTTAATTATTATTGAGTTGTATGAGTTCTTTATATATTCTGAATATAAATCCTTTGTCAATTAATTGACTTGAAAATATGTTCTCCCAGTCTGTGGTTTGCTTCCCATTGTCTTAATAATGTCTTCTCAAGAGCAAAAATTTATATTCTTAAAGTTAAATATATTTATATTTTCTTTTATGGATGATGACTTTGGTATCATATCTAAGAATTTGTTGAACTCCAAGTTACAAATATTGTATTTCTTCAAAAGTTTTACATGTTGCTTTACATTCAGACTTATAATACATTTTGATTTAACCTTTATATAAGGTGTGAATCATGGGTCTATGTTCATTTTTTAGATATAGATCTCTAATTGCTTTCTGCACAATTCATTGAAAATACATTTCTCTATTGAATTTTCTGCACCTTTTTAAGAAAATTAATTAATAATAATGGTATAGGTTTGTTCTGTGACTGTATCTTTCGCACCCAATATCTATTTACATACAGTAATGGTTTCTATGTAGAAAATCCCCAACAATCTATAAAACAAATCCTAAAACAAATACGTGATTTTAGTAAGGTTGCATGCCACAAGGACAATGTAAAAAAAAAAAAAAAAAAAAAGGAAATGTAGGTTCATATACCTTGTTTCTGATCTTAGTGGAAAAGCACTGAGCTTTCCACTAATAAATATGATGCCAGTTATTTCTATAATAAGTGTCTTATTTAAGGTTAACGAATTATCTTCCTATTTTTTAGTATTTTGAGAAGTTTAACAGGAATAGATGTTGAATTTTGTCAAATGCTTTTTCTGCATTTATGAGATCATCATATGAATTTTCTTCTTTATTAATATGATTAATTACATTGATTTTCTAATGTTAAATCAATTTTGGATTTTCTGGATAAATACAATTTTCTCATAATATAATATCCTTTTAATATGCTACTAGATGATTTTTCTTAAAATTTTATTGAAGATTCTTGTATCTATATTCATGAGAGGTATTGGTGTGTTGGTTGGCAATTTCTTTTCTTGGTGATGTCTGTGGCTGGTTTCAGTATTAGATAAATCGAAAGTGCTACTTCTCCTTTCGGGAAGTGACTGGGTAGAATTTATATTATTTTTTTCTTAAAAGGTTAATAGACTTCACTAGTTAATCTATCTGAGCCTACAGGCTTCTTCATTAAGTGATTTTTAAATACAAACAGGACTACTCACATAACCTATATTTTTAGTGAAAGTTCGTGTTGTATATCTTTCAAAAATAGGTTTATTATATTTTAATGCCTTTTTTCAAATACCAGCTTTTAATTTCATTCATTCTCTTGATTAGTCTGTTTCCAATTTATTTGATTGCTGCTTCTATATTTATTAGTTTTTCCTTCTGCTTGTCCTGGATTTAATTTGCACTTACTTTTATAGTATCTTAGGATGGTAGATTAGATCATGAATTTTAGTTTTTTTCTGTTCTGATATTATATAAGCATCAAATCTATAAAGTTTTCCTTGAAGAGTTGCTTTAGCTGCATTGTTGCTTAGACTGTTATATAAATATAAATTAGATCAAATTGGCTGATCGTGCTTATTGTGTTGCTCAGGTCTTCTTTATACTTACTCATTTCCTATTTGGTTGTTTTATTAATTAGTGAGAAAGGACTGTTACAGCCTTCCAATATAATTATGGATTTATCTATTTATCCTTTCAAGTCTATTCATTTTCACCTTATATATTTTGAATTTATGTTGTTAAGTACATATATATTTAAATAGTTTTTTGGGACTGAAGGTGTCTTCTTGGAAAATTGATTTCTTTGTCATTATTTAATGTTCATGTTTAACCTTGTTAATATATGTTATTTAAAGTCTAATGATATTAATATAGCAATTCTAGTTTTTTTGGTTGATGCTTCCATAATCTGTCTTTCTCTATTCTTTTACTTTTCTATATATATCCATACACATTAAGTGGGTTTCTTGTACACAGTATATATTTGGATCTTGCTCTTGTTACCCAATCTGTCATTCAGTTTTTAAATTAATGTGTTTAGACTATTTTCATTTAATGTAATTATTAACACTGTTAAATTAAAAATCTACCATCTTTCTGTCTGTTCTCTACTTGTTCCATATGTTGTTTATTTTTTTCCTCTTCTTCTCTTTTTTTGATTAAATATATTTTATGATACCATATTACCTCTGGTATTCACTTACAATACATAATTTTTCAAAATGTGTCTAATACTTACCCTAGTTTAAGTTACATATCTTTAGTCAACTCCCAAATGTTATATTGTTTAATATGTATTATAAGAATGTTGTAACACTATATCCCAATACTTCTCCTACACAACATCTGTAGTATTTTGTCACATATTTTATTTTTACATGTAAGATAAATAAATATCGCATTGCTATTACTTTTTAATAAGTGGTCAGTTATCTTCTAGAGCAACTAAAAATATGAGAAACATGTTTTATTTTTACCTTCATTCATTTTATTTTCAGCGCCCTTCACTTCTTTCTGTATAGCTATACTAGTCTGTTTTCACACTGCTGTAAAGAACTAACTGAGACTGGGTAATTTATGAAGAAAAGAGGGTTAATTGACACACAGTTCCACAGGCTTGACAGGAAGCATGACTAGGAGGCCTCAGGAAACTTATAATCATGGCAGAAGGTGAAGGGGAAACAAGGTACATCTTTCCACAGAAGAGCAGGAGAGAGGGCAAGTGAAGGTGGGAGTGCTACAAATTTTAAAAGCCAGATGTCATGAGAACTCACTCACCATCATGAGAACAGCAAGGGGGAAATCTGCACCCATGATCCAATAACTGCCAACCAGGTCCCTCCCCTGACATGTGGCAATTACAATTTGATGTGAGATTTCGGTGGGGACACAGAACCAAACCATATCAATAACCAAGTTTAACTCTGGTATTACATTCCATATCCCTAAAGAACCTCCTTTAATATTTCTTATATAGAAGCTCTGCTGACAATAAATTCTCCCCATTTTTATATGTCAAACAACATCTTCATTTCTCCTTCATCATGATAACTTTCAGTGGTTATAAAATTCGGAGTTGAGAGTTGTTTTCTTTCATCACTTTCAAGATGTCACCCTTTTGTCTTCTGACTTGCCTTGTTTCTGATAACAAGTCCACTGTACATAATATGTCTTTTTCTTGGGATGTCTTCCAAATTTTCTTTTTAACTTCGGTGTTTAGCAATTTGAATATGGGTTCCTTTTTATACATGTGTTTATGTGTGTATCGTTCTCTGAGCTTCTTCAATTTGTTTTGGTGTCTCTCATTGATTTTTTTCTCATTAAATCCTCCTTAATTTCTTTGTCATTAATTTCAGAGAATTATTTGCCATTATTTCCTTAAATATTTCTTTGGTCCTGTTCTCTGTTTCTCCATCTGGGATTACAAGTACACATATTTAAGACTACTTCCCAGAAGATTGCAAATACACTATTCTACCTCAGCTCTCAATTTACCCGTTTTCAAGTATAATAATTCTGTCCTCAGGTGTACCAACCATATTGATGAGCCTATCAAATGCATTCTTCACTTTTGTTGCTATGTTTTTCAGTTCTAGTATTTCCATCTGACTCTTTCTTATGCTTTCCAGCTGCCTGCTAAAATTACCTATGTGATGTGTATATTGTTCACTTTTTCCATTTGAGTCTTTAAAATATTAATGACAGTAATTAAAACTTTTCTGTCTCACAGTTTTATTATGTAAGTCATATCTTTGCTTTTATAAAATTCTTTTTATTTTGGCAGTGTGCCCATTTTTTTCTTGCCATTGTACACGTCTTGTACATTTTGTTTAAAACTAAATATCTTGCGTAGGACATTAAAGAATGAGTAAATAGTGTTTATGTCTTTAAATGAGAATGACTGTCCTTCTGCTAGATCTGCGGTTTGAATCATTCTACTCAGGAGTTAAGCTAGGTTTGGGATTTGTTGTTACCAAAGTTACCTGGCATCACAGGCTTCAAATTCCTCTAGTATTCTCTTGTGTTGAGGATGGGTAATACATGGATAGCCATTTCTTTTCTCAGTATCTGCTCCACTCTCAACTTTAGGTCTTCCTTTTACACTGTTTTTCAGACAATAGCTGTCCTACACTTAGCAGTTTAAGGCTTTTCTTCTGTAGGGGGAAGGGGAGAAGGATCCAGGTGATGATTCCTGCCTTTCTCGGAGTGATTCCTGTACTTCTTATGCTATGCCTGTATCAGAAGAGATGCTTTCAGAGGGCTGTAGACGATCTTTTTTTTTTTTTTTTGATTTACAAAATAAATTGTATAATATCTATAAATATTATAGATATTGAGTATACATTGAAGTCTATGGAGAAAAGACTGCAGTGCAAATTCCCCTCATATCTGCAGTCAATAGGGTTGCTATATTATCTTTCTAGTGCACAACTGGCTTTACCAATTCGACTTAAAAATTCAGCTAAATTCTTACTGCTATCTGGCAGTATCTGCTCCAGGAAAACAAGTGCTCATGTCTCCTCCTAAGTTTCAGGTTAGCTGGTTGCCCTACGACCTTAGTTCTCTGATGACTCCATGAAAAGTTGTGAATCTGCAAACTTTCTAGTTTTTTTGCTTGCTGTTCTACAGCTAGAAGTGATGCTCTTTCCCATTATTTTTTTATCCTCAAAAAGGATTTGGAAGTAAGTCTAAGTCTCCTGTTTAGTTATTAATTCATATGTTGTATCATATATGTCCTTATGAAAACATAATTATGCCCCACAAAATGCAGCAGAATGAAAAGCCTTGATTAAAATATAAACAAATTCTAATAAAAATGTGAGTCAAGTTAAACAATTAAAAAATTTATATACTTCTGCAAGACCCCAATTCCCTAATGAACTGGCTAAAATAATCACAGAAAACTTAATCTATTATTTATTAGAATTCACTGAGTATTTTTGAGATTTGGAAGAAGAGAAGGACAAATACATTGCCGTTTTAAAAAGTGCATCTTTAAGTAGAAAGAAGAGGATGGCACAATAATCCCCCAAGTGGAATACTTATCTAAAATTTTATGCTTGGGGAAATACTGAAGCCAATAACAAAAGAAAACAATCAACTTGCAAGCTATAATAAAATTATAAGCTATTGGGAAAAAATAATATTCATGGCCTTGTGAAGAATAAATTTATCAGGATAACCAAATTTATTTTCTTAGCAATATAGCAAAGGCAAAATAATAAGCCTTAATGTACTATGAGCTTATGCAGGTTATGATTTTGCCTTCAAGGAAGTAACTTTAAAAATAAAAAGAATATTATTTAGGACAGTGTCAACATTTCCTTTAGTTCATATCACTATCAGTATGCTAAATGCCCTCACACGCTAGTAGGTTCAGCATTACTGAAAAGTTTACCATCCTCCTTTGGCAATAGTGCTCTACAGTCGCAGCTCTAACTGTGTGCACATCAAGGCTTGTTTTTGAGAGCAAAAGCCAAAATTGTATGTTTTACTTAGGCAATATTTACCAAAAAAGCGAGTATATAATATTCACTTTATTTAAAAATATTCTTGATGTGCAATATGTAATAATATATGAGATACATTTTTACAACAAATACTGTTTAATTTGTTGTCTTTTTACAATTCAAAATAATGCTACATTTAAGCCTTAGGAAATGTCTTTGTCATTAAGCTGTTCTGTGAAAATACCTGGAGATATATTCCCAGTTCCTATTTATTTATCCCCCATGATATTTATAGATATTATACAATTTATTTTGTAAATATTTTCCTAACATTCTTTTCTTAACTCTAGGAATGACTTTAATATATTTCCTTCTGAAAATAACTTTTTAACTTATTTTTTATTTCTCCTAGGAAAGGTCATGCTTAAACAGTTCTAAGCTTATTTCTTTTGGATTATATATCTCACATGTCATTCAAACAACTCCAAATAGAGACCCATTATGGATTAATGTCTGAAGTGTGACTCATCTATAACATATTTTCATTAATTAGGTATATGTTGTCCATTCGACAGTTTGCCCTGCTAATCTCATGCTATCTCTAGTCAGGGATCATTTTTTAAAAATGATCAAACATTAAAAATATCAATCTACTGAATATGGAAAAGCAGACACAAAGCAATGTTTCTATATTGTTAAGTAGTCCAATGTTACGTTACTGACATTGTTCACTACAAGCAATGTAACACAGAACAGTGATAAACAAGGCAGATGGAATAGCTAAAAAGAAACTAGGAACAAGGAAGAGGTGAGGAATGAGTGAATATTCCCAATACCATATGCTGTCAAGAGCAAAAGATTGGGATCTGACTTGTTTAGATAGGTAAAATAGTTGTTTAGATAGGTAAAAAGAATATGATATTCTACATATCATTTAATACTTTTGAATCTTCCACTCTAGATAAAATTATCTGCTTCCTTACATGCAGAGGCATCCTGCTTCCTGCTTGTCCTCCAGCTCCTTCACCCTACCTTTTCAGTCTTTTTTGCTATCTTCTCTTCTCCTGAGAACAACATAAATGCTTCAGTTCTTGACCCTTTTCCATTCCTTCTCCGGATGCTCGATTGGGTGTACCTATCCATTCTCATGATGAGGCATACCCAACTATACTTCCAATTCTTAGGTGTCACTAAGTTCAAGACTGATGTCTAGCTGTTATGGACTGAAATATCCCTACTCTCCCAAATTCATTCATAGGTTGAAGCTCTAAACATTTTGAATGTATTTGGAGCTAGGGTTTGTAGGAGATAATTAAGGTTAAATGAGGTCATAAGAGTGGGGCCCTAATCCAACAGGACTGTTACCTTATAAGAAGAGAAAGGTAGAATGATAACTTGCACTCTCTCCTGCATGTGAGAACACAGAGAAAAAGTGACCACTGCAAGTCAGGAAAAAGACTCTGACCAGAACCTGCCCATGCTGGCACCCTAATCTCAGACTTCCAGATCCTAAAATGGAGAAAATAAATTTCTGTTGTTTATACCACCCAGTCTGTGATATTCTGTGATGGCAGCACTAGCTGACAACTGGTCACCTCTACCTGGATGATCAACAGGGAACACAAGCCAAACACACCCAAATCCACACTTTCTACTGAACTTGCCCCTCCTCTTATATTCTACACCTCATAAAATAATAGCAAGCCAGAAGACTGAGAGCAATTTGAGTCTCTCCTTACCCTTCACCTTCTGACAGCCAACTAGTTGTCAAATATCATAAACTATCTTCTCAATATAGCCATAAGTTAATCTCTCTCCTCTAGTAGTGTAATATTAGATCTCATTTCCTGTGTGGACTCTTCCAGTAGATTTCTCACTTCAAGTAACTTTCCCACTTTAAGTTTTATGCCTGAGAAATAAATCTTCTACTGTTATATAATCATTTAAAAAATGCAAATCTACTATGTTCTTACTCCCCTCCCCCCAACACCATGCACATTTGCAATGTTCAGTGATACCCATTCCTTATATAATGGCAAGTAAGCCTTCACTCCCCTTCTCTCTCTCCCTCCCCATGATCTGAGTCCTGCCTGCCTTTCTAATTTATTTCCTGCTACTTCACATGTATCCTCCTCTCATTTATTCATATATTGAGACTCAGTTCAAGACCCAGTTACCCCCTAGGAAGTAGTTGCTTACCCCCTTTCCCTCAAAGAATTGAGTGACCTGAATTGAATGAAAGTATTGCTTACTAGTCTTTCTCACTGTAAAGCTGTAATCTCCTCAAGACACACATCTTCCTGGTTAGTTGTGTCAAAATGTTTGGTACAGAGTGAGTAATTAATAAAGATTTGTTGACTAAATGAAGAAATAAAAAATCATAGCACTAATGAAGCTACAATTAACACTGTGTAAATTAAAAATCCAGAATGATTATAAATAGAACAACGGTTAATTAAGTGGGATAATACTGAATAAAACCATGCCTTCGAAACTTCATTTTGTTACATAAAAATAACACAATGTAAAACTGTACATACTGTTGATTAGCGTCCATAAAGAATGAATGTGTTATGTGTCTGTGTGTGTGTGTATGTACTGGCATGCACAGAAGAGTAAAAGAAAATGTACTAAAACATTAGTGAAAGCTACTTCCAGATGGTGAGATCAGAGGTAAACTTTATTTATTTTTTGATAAACATTTAAACATGGGGGGAGGAGCCAAGATGGCCAAATAGGAACAGCTCCAGTCTACAGCACCCAGCGTGAGTGACGCAGAAGACGGGTGATTTCTGCATTTCCAACTGAGCTTGGAAGAAAGTAGTAGTTCTCCCAGCATGCAGCTTGAGATCTGAGAATGGGCAGACTGCCTCCTCAAGTGGGTCCATGACCCCCGAGTAGCCTAACTGGGAGGCACCCCCCAGTAGGGGCGGACTGACAACTTACACGGCTGGGTACTCCTCTGAGCCAAAACTTCCAGAGGAACGATCAGGCAGCAGCATCTGTGGTTCACCCATATCTGCTGTTCTGCAGCCACCGCTGCTGTTACCTAGGCAATCAGGGTCTGGAGTGGACCTCTAGCAAACTCCAACAGACCTGCAGCTGAGGGTCCTGTCTGTTAGAAGGAAAACTAACAAACAGAAAGGACATCCACACCAAAAACCCATCAGTATGTCACCATCATCAAAGACCAAAGGTAGATAAAACCACAAAGATGGGAAAAAAACAGAGCAGAAAAACTGGAAACTCTAAAAATCAGAGTGCCTCTCCTCCTCCAAAGGAATGCAGCTCCTCACCAGCAACGGAACAAAGCTGGATGGAGAATGAGTTTGACAAGCTGAGAGAAGAAGGCTTCAGACGATCAAACTACTCCGAGCTACAGGAGGAAATTCAAACCAATGGCAAAGAAGTTAAAAGCTTTGAAAAAAAAATTAGACAAATGGATAACTAGAATAACCAACGCAGAGAAGTCCTTAAAGGACCTGATGGATCTGAAAACCAAGGCACGAGAGCTACGTGACGAATGCAGACGCCTCAGGAGCCGATGCAATGAACTGGAAGAAAGGGTATCAGTGATGGAAGACGAAATAAATGAAATGAAGCGAGAAGGGAAGTTTAGAGAAAAAAGAAAAGAAATGAACAAAGCCTCCAAGAAATATGGGACTATGTGAAAAGACCAAATCTATGTCTGATTGGTGTACCTGAAAGTGACGGGGAGAAATGCAACCAAGTTGGAAAACACTCTGCAGGATATTATCCAGGAGAACTTCCCCAATCTAGCAAGGCAGGCCAACATTCAGATTCAGGAAATACAGAGAATGCCACAAAGATACTCCTCGAGAAGAGCAACTCCAAGACACATAACTGTCAGATTCACCAAAGTTGAAATGAAGGAAAAAATGTTAAGGGCAGCCAGAGAGAAAGGTCGGGTTACCCACAAAGGGAAGCCCATCAGACTAACAGCTGATCTCTCGGCAGAAACTCTACAAGCCAGAAGAGAGTGGGGACCAATATTCAACATTCTTAAAGAAAAGAATTTTCAACCCAGAATCTCATATCCAGCCAAACTAAGCTTCATAAGTGAAGGAGAAATAAAATACTTTACAGACAAGCAAATGCTGAGAGATTTTGTCACCACCAGGCCTGACCTAAAAGAGCTCCTGAAAGAAGCACTAAACATGGAAAGGAACAACTGGTACCAGCCACTGCAAAAACATGCCAAATTGTAAAGACCATCAAGGCTAGGAAGAAACTGCATCAACTAACGAGCAAAATAACCAGCTAACATCATAATGACAGGATCAAATTCATACATAACAACATTAACTTTAAATCTAAATGGGCTAAATGCTCCAATTAAAAGACACAGACTGGCAAACTGGATAAAGAGTCAAGACCCATCAGTGTGCTGTATTCAGGAAGCCCATCTCACGGGCAGAGACACACATAGGCTCAAAATAAAAGGATGGAGGAAGATCTACCAAGCAAATGGAAAACAAAAAAAGGCAGGGGTTGCAATCCTAGTCTCTCATAAAACAGACTTTAAACCAACAAAGATCAAAAGAGACAAAGAAGGCCATCACATAATGGTAAAGGGATCAATTCAACAAGAAGAGCTAACTATCCTAAATATATACATATACCCAATACAGGAGCACCCAGATTCATAAAGCAAGTCCTTAGTGACCTACAAAGAGACTTATACTCCCACACAATAATAATCGGAGACTTTAACACCCCACTGTCAACATTAGACAGATAAACGAGACAGAAAGTTAACAAGGATACCCAGGAATTGAACTCAGCTCTGCACCAAGTGGACCTAATAGACATCTACAGAACTCTCCACCCCAAATCAACAGAATATACATTCTTTTCAGCACTACACAACACCTACTCCAAAACTGGCCACATAGTTGGAAGTAAAGCACTCCTCAGCAAATGTAAAAGAACAGAAATTATAACAGTCTCTCAGACCACAGTGCAATCTAATTAGAACTCAAGATTAAGAAACTCACTCAAAACCGCTCAACTACATAGAATCTGAACGACCTGCTCCTGAATGACAACTGGGTAAATAATGAAATGAAGGCAGAAATAAAGATGTTCTTTGAAACCAATGAGAACAAAGACACAACACACCAGAATCTCCAGGACACATTCAAAGCAGTGTGTAGAGGGAAATTTATAGCACTAAATGCCCACAAGAGAAAGCAGGAAAGATCCCAAATTGACACCCTAACATCACAATTAAAAGAACTAGAAAAGCAAGAGCAAACACATTCAGAAGCTAGGAGAAGGCAAGAAATAACTAAGATCAGAGCAGAACTGAAGGAAATAGAGACACAAAAAGCCCTCCAAAAAATTAATGAATCCAGGAGCTGGTTTTTTGAACAGATCAACAAAATTGATAGACCGCTAGCAAGACTAATAAAGAAGAAAAGAGAGAAGAATCAGATAGACGCAATAAAAAATGATAAAGGGGATATCACCACTGATCCCACAGAAATACAAACTACCGTCAGAGAATACTATAAACACCTCCATTAAAAATAAACTAGAAAATCTAGAAGAAATGGATAAATTCCTCGACACATACATCCTCCCAAGACTAAGAAGTGAATCTCTGAATAGACCAATAACAGGATCTGAAATTGTGGCAATAATCAATAGCTTACCAACCAAAAAAAGCCCAGGACCAGATGGATTCACAGCCGAATTCTACCAGAGATAAAAAGAAGAGCTGGTACCATTCCTTCTGAAACTACTCCAATCAATAGAAAAAGAGAGAATCCTCCCTAACTCATTTTATGAGGCCAGCATCATCCTGATACCAAAGCTGGGCAGAGACACAATCAATAAAGAGAATTTTAGACCAATATCCTTGATGAACATCGATGCAAAAATCCTCAATAAAATACTGGCAAACCGAATCCAGCAGCACATCAAAAAGCTTATTCACCATGATCAAGTGGGCTTCATCCCTGGGATGCAAGGCTGGTTCAACATACGCAAATCAATAAATGTAATCCAGCATATAAACAGAACCAAAGAACAAAAACCACATGATTATCTCAATAGATGCAGAAAAGGCCTTTGACAAAATTCAACAACCCTTCATGCTAAAAACTCTCAATAAATTAGGTATTGATGGGATGTATCTCAAAATAATAAGAGCTATCTATGACAAATCCACAGCCAATATCATACTGAATGGGCAAAAACTGGAAGCATTCCCTTTGAAAACGGGCACAAGACAGGGATGCCCTCTCTCACCACTCCTATTCAACATAGTGTTGGAAGTTCTGGCCAGGGCAATCAGGCAGGAGAAGGAAATAAAGGGTATTCAATTAGGAAAAGAGAAAGTCAAATTGTCCCTGTTTGCAGATGACATGATTGTATATCTAGAAAACCCCAATGTCTCAGCCCAAAATCTCCTCAAGCTGATAAGCAACTTCAGCAAAGTCTCAGGATACAAAATCAATATACAAAAATCACAAGCATTCTTATACACCAATAACAGACAAACAGAGAGCCAAATCATGAGTGAATTCCCATTCACAATTGTTTCAAAGAGAATAAAATACTTAGGAATCCAACTTACAAGGGATGTGAAGGACCTCTTCAAGGAGAACTACAAACCACTGCTCAAGGAAATACAAGAGGACACAAAGAAATGGAAGAACATTCCATGCTCATGGGTAGGAAGAATCAATACTGTGAAAATGGCCATACTGCCCAAGGTAATTTATAGATTCAATGCCATCCCCATCAAGCTACCAATGACTTTCTTCACAGAATTGGAAAAAACTAATTTAAAGTTCATATGGAACCAAAAAAGAGCCCGCATCGCCAAGTCAATCCTAAGCCAAAAGAACAAAGCTGGAGGCATCACGCTACCTGACTTCAAACTATACTACAAGGCTACAGTAACCAAAACAGCATGGTACTGGTACGAAAACAGAGATATAGACCAATGGAGCAGAACAGAGGCGTCAGAAATAATGCCGCATATCTACAACTGTCGGATCTTTGACAAACCTCACAAAAACAAGCAATGGGGAAAGGATTCCCTATTTAATAAATGGTGCTGGGAAAACTGGCTAGCCATATGTAGAAAGCTGAAACTGGATCTCTTCCTTACACCTTATACAAAAATTAATTCAAGATGGATTAAAGACTTAAATGTTAGACTTAAAACCATAAAAACCCTAGAAGAAAACCTAGGCAATACCATTCAGGACATAGGCATGGGCAAGGACTTCATGTCTAAAACACCAAAAGCAATGGCAATAAAAGCCAAAATTGACAAATGGGATCTAATTAAACTAAAGAGCTTCTGCACAGCAAAAGAAACTACCATCAGAGTGAACAGGCAACCTACAAAATGGGAGAAAATTTTCACAACCTACTCATCTGACAAAGGGCTGATATCCAGAATCTACAATGAACTCAAACAAATTTACAAGAAAAAAACAAACAACCCCATCAAAAAGTGGGCGAAAGATATGAACAGACACTTCTCAAAAGAAGACATTTATGCAGCCAAAAAACACATGAAAAAATGCTCATCATCACTGGCCATCAGAAAAATGCAAATCAAAACCACAATGAGATACCATCTCACACCAGTTAGAATGGTGATCATTAAAAAGTCAGGAAACAACAGGTGCTGGAGAGGATGTGGAGAAATAGGAACACTTTTACACTGTTGGTGAGACTGTAAACTAGTTCAACCATTGTGGAAGTCGGTGTGGCGATTCCTCAGGGATCTAGAACTAGAAATACCATTTGACCCAGCCATCCCATTACTGGGTATATACCCAAAGGATTATAAATCATGCTGCTATAAAGACACATGCACACATATGTTTATTGCGGCACTATTCACAATAGCAAAGACTTGGAACCAACCTAAATGTGCAACAACGACAGACTAGTAAGAAAATGTGGCACATATATACCATGGAATACTATGCAGCCATAAAAAATGATGAGTTCATGTCCTTTGTAGAGACATGGATGAAAATGGAAACCATCATTCTCAGCAAACTATTGCAAGGACAAAAAACCAAACACCACATGTTCTCACTCATAGGTGGGAACTGAACAATGAGAACACATGGACACAGGAAGGGGAACATCACACTCTGGGGACTGTTGTGGGGTGGGGGTAGGGGGGAGGGATAGCATTAGGAGATATACCTAATGCTAGATAACGAGTTAATGGGTGCAGCACACCAACATGGCACATGTATACATATGTAACAAACCTGTACGTTGTGCACATGTACTCTAAAACTTAAAGTATAATAAAATGAAAAAAACAAAAAAAACAAAAAATCATTTAAACATGTGCATTTTTCTTGCTTTTGTGTGTGTGTGTGTGTGTGTGTGTGTGTGTGTGTGTGTGTGTGTGTGTGTGGAGTCTTACTCTGTGGCCAGGCTGGAGTGCAGTGGCGCAGTCTTGGCTCATTGCAACCTCTGCCTCCCAAGTTCAAGCGATCCTCCTGCCTCAGGTGTGCGTCACCACACCCAGCTAATTTTTTGCATTTTTAGTAGAAATGGGGTTTCACCATGTTGGCCAGGATGGTCTTGATCTCTTGACCTCATGATTCACCTGCCTTGGCCTCCCAAAGTGCTGGGATTACAAGTGTGAGCCACTGTGCCTGGCCATGTATGTATTTTTCAAATATGCTAAAGAATTAATGATTTCTATAGCAAAACAAGATATTAAATGGCTTTAAATGTTCAAAAACCTAAACAATCCATTTGATTTTTAAATTATGGTATTAGTAAGCTTTGATTTAATTTATATCTTGGTTAAGTTTCTTAGGGTTGAATGAGTGATGCAAAATAAATAAACAATATGGGTGGAACTCAAGGAAACCAAGAGCAGAGAGTGAAGTCAAGATTCTGGCACTAGCATCAAGGAATAAAAAGAGGCATGAAGCTTCAGCTTCTTTCTGTTTCTCTGAAGACACCTAATGTCTTGATTCTGCTCTTCATACATCTCTTTACTACAGTCAATCTCTCTCTCTCGTTTATCTTTCTTCCTCCCTACTCCCTGTTATTTCTCTCTATTCCCTCCCTTCATCTCTCCTGTTCCTTTCTTCTCCTTTTTCCAGGCTTCCTTCTTCCTCTCTTTCCTCTCCCCTCTTCTTGTCTCTCCTCCTCCTCCTCTCTCATCCTTTCTACCATCTTCCATCTCACTCTCCTTCATCCCCGTCCCTCTCCCTCTTCTCTTCTCCTTCTCTCTCATTCTCTTTCTCCCTCATTCCCTCGCCCTCTTCATCATTCTCTCTGCCTCATCCCCTCACCCGTTCCACCATTCTCTCACCATCTCCCTCAGCCCCTCACCCTCTTCATCATTCTCTCTGCATCTCCCTCAGCCCCTCACCCTCTTCATCATTCTCTCTCCCTCTCTCTTATCCCCTCACCTTTTGCATCATTCCCTCTCCCTATCCCCCATCCTCTTATCTTCTCGCTGGTTTGGCATTCTCTGTTTTTTTTCCTATACACACAAGCTAATAAAAAAGGTTGAACTCTTTCATCTTGAGTTTACAATAACTTAATTCAAGTGACCGCAGAGACTGATATCTATGAGACCCAATTCCAAATTCTGAGAGAATCTTATTGGTCCAGCTTGGACAAGGTGTGGACAATTACTGTGTCCAGGTAGCTGGAGGAAGTGGCTACTTTAATTGCATTTTGCAAACGTGGCTCCTTCTCCTATGGTTGGGAGTGGCAGTTTACAGGACGGAATAAACCCTGACAATAAATAGCAATTGGAATAGTAACAAAACAAATGGAAATGTAAAAAATGTTTCCGTTCATATATTTACTGAGTGTATGAGATTGCAGTTGCGAATGTACTGAGATTTCTGAAAAGACAGTTCTCAAGTTGCTACTGCCATTGAATTCCTAAATATAAAAAGAGCTAGGAATCACACCTGACAAGCTTACTTCATTCTATTGCAATGAAGATTACAGTGAATTAAAGGCAAATCAATTATAAAGCAACAAACTTTTGGAGGCATAAAAGTAAGCAAAGGATAATAACAAAAAGTAAGCAGTGGACGTGTCAAAAAGAACTATTTCCACCTAAACTGAAAATATAAATAGGACCTAAAGACAATACATGTCACAACTAAAACTCATTTCAGATCTTTAGAAGGTGGCTACAATACCTAAAATTCTCCCTACGAATAACAAAAATAAACTCCACAATGTGCATATTAACTTGTAGTGATAAGCCATAAATAGGATGTTTCAAAAATAGTAAAACTTGTTCTTTATTTAGAAAGAAAAGTTTTATATTTCAGATATGAACTGGGTTTACTCATTTGCCAGAGCGATACGAATAACTTTATAGTCAATAATAAGTTGCAAATTAATTTGTGAGTGTTTTTAAGCAAGAAAAAAACATTCATTATATTCTTCCCAAATTCTTGGGAAAATATGTAAATTTCTCAATGTTGCACTTATGAATAACACCCTAGTAATCTATAAAGAACAAAATTTTAAGTAAGTACTAAAGTGGTGTACTTATCGTGTAATTTTCAAAGAGTAGTCTTCATTTTACATTTTAATATCATATTAACCAATTATTTAGGAAGAGAGTGGATTTTGACAGTTTTTTCAAATAATGAGGACATTATGGCTCCAAAGCTAGTACTGCCCATTCCTACTCATACAAGGATGTGAAAAGTTATATGTGGATATGATTTTACTTTATAACTAATATAATGCCAGTATTATCTATTATTATATTTCATATCATTTACAATTTTAAAATATCTCCATGAAAGTCATATTAGTCAGACTAAAGAGAATGAAAAATTCTCATTTTATAGATGAAAAAATGAAGTCTGCATTTCTCATCTCGTGCCCTTTCTGGGATACAGCTCCCTGTGGATACTCTGTTATCTGTTCTTCCCAAGATTGTGGGTTCCTCATTGGTTTTCTTTTGTCTATATGTTAATCTTCCAGAGGAAAAAAAGACTACTTTCTGTTCACATACTGTATTTCTCTATATCTCTTGTAGTTTCTTACCCAGCCCCTCAGAAAATTCTCAACTTCTCATTAATTCCACATTCTTCATTTCTTAAGCCCATAGCAACAACAACAAAAATCCCTTGACCGATCACTCTTTCTTTTCAACAATGATCATTTACATCACACCTTTTAACATTCAATTATTGATATATTTCATTAAAAAATAAAAATTATTATTGTTGTTCAGTTTTCTAGTTGTTTTATATAAATCCTCAAATCATCCTGTTGGCTTGATTTGTTGATTTAACAATCTAGGCCAGGCGCAGTGGCTCATGCCTGTAATCCCAGCATTTTTGGAGGCTGAGGCAGGCGGATCATGAGGTCAGGAGTTCAAGACCAGCCTGGCCAATATGGTGAAACCTCGTCTCTACTAAAAATTCAGAAGTTAGCCAGGCATGGTGGCGCATGACTGTAGTCCCACCTACTGGGGAGGCTGAGGCAGGAGAATCACTTGAACCAGGGAGGCGGAAGTTGCAGTGAGCTGAGATCGCACCACTGCACTCCAGCCTGGGTGACAGAGCGAGACTCTGTCAAAAACAAACAAACAAACAAAACACAATCTAGTACAATATAAATCTTCTGAATAGAGATTAGAGGCTACTCAGGAGACAACCATCAAGACTTAAGTGCCAAACATAATCTTTAAAAATCACCCCTGTGTTTATGAATGAAGAATTCAAAATTCTAATTCTATACTCCACAAAGTCACTGAAACTCTATTTTGATCACTTTGTGTAATGTCCCAATTTAAAAAGCTTAGATGGAGGCATCTAAAATGATATAGAATGTATTAAATTTAAGTTAGACTTAAGGTATTAAATGCTTCGCTCCATTATCAATCAAGGGGTCATGTTTCTAAAATATTGCTTGCTAGTCTGTCAGATATTTGTCCAAAGTGAAATACATGTAATTTTGCATCATTAATATATTGAGACAAAGAATAAGCTAATTTCCTACCATCTGTGCTGGTAACTGCTCAACACAAGTAGATACTGATTAATTTCATTTTGTCTGGCACCTCTGAGTTTGTACCTAAAACATTCGTATTTTCACAATACCTTTCAAGTGATTACAGTCATGTGTTCTTAGTTATGTAAAATATTAGGATAAATATAATTTTAAAATTTAAAGAAAGAACGTAGATTTTCTTTTTAGGCAGGAGAGTACAAAATCATGACACTGAGAAGCTAAATATTGGGGGTGAAAACTAATTGCAACTAGGAACATTCAAAATATGTGACAGTAAGATGCTTCCTATAGATATTATTATGTGATTTAAATTTAAGTTTTCATTCATTTCTTCCAAACATAGTATAATTAAAGTAGGAGAAGGCAATGTGATGAGTAACATAAATTTTCAAGTGGACAGAAAATAGTTTAAAAACTCAGAATAAAATGGGAAAAGTTGTCCACTGATAGCTGCGTTTTCTCCCAGGGGAATGTTGGAAAGCCACAGAGAGACTCCTGAGAGAACTAGGAATCAGTGACGTCAACAAATATCAGTGTACCAGACACATCTTATTGATATAGTGGCAGAATCCCACCTAATGATTGGAAGTACCTACATCAGCACAGAGATTTTCTAAGTTCAACAATGATGTCATGCTTTAGGACTTATCAAAGACCAGGAAGTAACTAATTTAATTTTTTATTGTTAAATTTTTAACAAATATTGCTATTTTTTCAAATACAACTTAAAATAAATTCACTAAATCAGATTTATTCTGATGGCAATAATTCATATTTTAAGTTGCTAACCAAAACAAAGTAGAATAAGAATGGAAGCACTTCAAACTCTGGTATTAGAAAAGAAGTACCATATCTTTTATTTTTCCTTTTTTAACTTCTGCCCACACATATGAGGCATTGTTTCTTCCATTAAATATTTATCTAGCTATAGAAAATGGATACATATTTTTCAGAAGATAATATGCATGTTTTGTTTTATTTTTCTATTCAATGTATATGTCAATAAGGGAAATTGTATATTTTCACTACAAGTATATTTTGGGTGAGGTAGATAAAGAGAATTATCAGAGGCTGGGCGCGGTGGCTCACGCCTATAAATCCCAGCACTTTGGGAGGCTGAGGCGGGCAGATCATGAGGTCAGGAGATCGAGACCATCCTGGCTAACACAGTGAAACCCCGTCTCTACTAAAAATACAAAAATTAGCTGGGAGTGGTGGTGGGCGCCTGTAGTCCCAGCTACTGGGGAGGCTGAGGCAGGAGAATGGCGTGAACCCAGGAGGCGGAGCTTGCAGTGAGCTGAGATTGCGCCACTGCACTCCAGCCTGGGAGAAAGCACAAGACTCCGTCTCAAAAAAAAAAAAAAAGGAGAATTATCAGAAAGACAAAAAGTAAGAAAAACAAAACAACAACAACAAAAAAAAACAGAGGAAAGAGCCAAGATGGCTGACCTGACACAGCCAGGCACTGGGAATACTAGCACACTTCAAGCAGACCTTCAGAGGGAAGGCACTGAGAGTGGACGGAAGGAGGATGAAGATACTGGACTGAAGCGGGAGGAATCTGGAAATCCTGCATGGGGCTGTTGAGCCCTGTGACCCACTCCTGGCCCCCAGTGAATACTGGGGAAGGGGTGAGTTTAACAGGTGATGAGTGGCCCACCCTTGCCACAGACCCCCGTAATCCTAGTTGCAGGAGACCTCAGGACCCCCACAAACCACTTGATCTGGCAGCGAGAGCTGCTTTGAGAGATGCCAGTGCCAGGACTCCAACCTGGGCATAGCTCAGAAGGTTTGTCGGGGGAATGGCTGCAGTGGAGCATGGCCAGGGATGTCTATCCCCCAAGGCTCACCAAGCTCCTCTAAGTGGCTTTTGCATTTGGGTGACAGTCGGATTGGGAACAGGGCGGTCCTGCCCATGTTTCAGAGCCATTTCTATCTGAGCAGCCTCTCCTGCTGCCAGCTTCTCCTGGAGCCCCAGCCTGATCACTCCCGCTTGCAATGCAGCATCAAATGCCTAACCAGGGTGCTTCCCTGATGCCTTCATGATAGCTTCTTCGCTGGCAGTCCATGCCTAACCATCAGAGAAGTCCAGCAGACCGGACTCTGCCGACAAAACCAGCCCACCCACAGCCTCTTCTCACTGCAGCCTCCCCTCACTGCTTTGGCAGTGTGTGCGCAAGGGCCGACCGACCTCGCCAACCCTCTTCCTACAGCAGGCATGTGAGTGTGCACCCCACTGCCCCACCGCTGCTGTCATGAGCACACTCTGCTGCCTTGCCCACCCCTGCCAGCACTGCGCCCTCGCTGATGTGTGGGCAGCCCACCGCACAGCGGTGGGTGCAACTGCGTGCACAGATTCCAGAACCTCGTGTCCACCAGCAGCCCACCCCTGCTGTGCCGCTTCTTCTCTGGCGCAAGTGAGCACAGTGTACACCGGTGTGCCCGCCCCTGTCAGCACCTCACCCATACTAGTGCACCACCCCACTGACACAAAAGCACTCCACTGCAAGGCCACAGTGACTGGCAAGCACAGGTGAGCACTGATACCACTGCCAACAACCCTACGAAGCGCTTCAGCCAGCATTCTCCTTAAAGTTTTGGGGCCAGCTTATGAGGAACGCTTCAGCACTTCTAGCCGTCAGGGTCATAACCTCAAGGGGCCAGAAGACACAGCTGGGGCTTCCCGGCCCCCTGGAATCTTCCATAATCAAAGCCAGAAGACTAAAGGCACCCTATACCACAATCAAACACCAAAGGGCTTCAAAGAAGATAAAAGCAAAAGGCTTCGTTCAAAGGACAGCAACTTCAAAGATTAAAGAACATCAGCCCAGAAAGATGAGAAACAAACAGCATAAAAACTTTGGTAACACAAAAAGCCAGTGTCTTCTTACCTCCAAATGCCCATACTAGATCCCCAGCAATGGTTCTGCACCAGGCTGAAATGACAGACATAGAATACAAAATATACACAGGAATGAAGATCATCAAAATCCTGGAGAAAGTCAAAACCCAAGCCAAAGAATCCAGGAAATACAATAAAAAGATACAGGAGCTGAATGAAGAAATGGCCGTTTTAAGATAGATACAAACGAATCTGATAGAATTGAAAAACAATACAATAATTCCATAATATAATCACAAAGTATAAACAGCAGAACAGACCAAGCTGGGGAAACAATCTGAGAGCTCAAAGACTAGTTCTCAAAATTAACTCAATCAGACATATAAACAAATAAAAAAGAATGAACAAAACCTCAGAGAAATGTGAGATTATGTGAAGAAACCAAATCTATAACACACTGACATGGCAGAAAGAGAGAGGGAGAGCAAGCAACCTGGAAAACATATTTGAGGATACAGTCCACAAAAATTTCTCTCATGTCCCCAGAGAGGCCAATATTCATGTTCAAAAAATACAGAGAACCCCTGCACGATACTATGCAAGACAACCATCCCCAAGGTACATACTTATCAGATTTTCCAGGGTCATAATGAAAGAAAAAATAAAGGCAGCTAGAGAGAAGGGGCAGGTCACCTACAAAGGAAACCCCGTCAGGCTAACAATGAAACTTTCAGCAGAAACCCTTCAAACCAGAAAAGATGGGGGACTCATATTCAGCATTCTTAAAGAAAAGAAATTCCAACCAAAAATTTCAGATCCAGCCACACTAAGCCTCATAAATGAAGGAGAAATAAAATTCTTTTCAGACAAGCAAGTACTAAGAGAATTCAGTAGCACTAGACCTGCCTTACATGAGGTCTTTAAGAAAGTCCTAAATAGGGAAATAAAACACTGTTACTGGCTACCACAAAAACACAACTAAGTACATAGTCCACTCACACCATAAAGCACTTACACAATCCAGTCTGCATAATACTAAGCTAACAACATGATGACAGAATCAAATACCCACTTATCAACATTAATCTTGAATGCAAACTGGGTAAATGCCCCAATTAAAAGGCATAAAGTGGCAGCAAGTTGGATAAAAAATAAACACCCAACTATACAGTACTGTCTTAAAGAGACCTATCTCACAGGCAAGGAGACCTAGAGGCTCAAAGTAAAGAAATGAAGAAAAATCTACCAAGTAAATGTAAAATTAAAAATATCAGAAGTTGCTATTCTAATTTAAGACAAAACAAACATTAGACCAAGAATGATCAAAAAGACAAGCACATTACATAATTGCATATAATTCAATTCAACAAGAAGACCTAACTATCCTAAATATATATGCACCCAACACAGGAGTATACGGATTCATAAAACAAGTTTTTAGAGACCTACAAAAGACTTAGATAACCACACAATAACAGTCAGAGACTTCAACACCCCACTGCCAATATTAGATCATCAAGGGAGAAAACTAACAAAAATATCCAGGAACTGAATACAACACTTGACCAAATGGACCTAACAGATAATCTACAGAACTCTTCACCCCAAAAACAACAGAATATACATTCTTCTCATCTGCACATGAAATGTACTGTAAAATCAAACACACAATCAGCCATGAAACAATTCTCAGCAAATTCAAAAAAGCTGAAATCATACCAACCACACTCTCAGACCACAGCGCTATAAAAATAGCCATGAAGATCACTCAAAACCATACAATTACATGAAAATTAAACAACCTGTTCCTAAATGACATTTGGGTAAACAATGAAATTAAGGCAGAAATCAAGAATTTCTTTGAAAACAGTGAGAACAAAGACAAAACATACCAGAATCTCAGGGCCACAGCTAAAGCAGCATTAAGAAGAAAGCTACATCACAAAGTTAGAAAGACCTCAAATTGACAACCTAACCTAACAGCTTGAGGAACTGGAAAAACAACAGCAAACCAACCCAAAAACTAGCAAAAGAAAAGAAATTTTAAAAAATCAGATCTGAATTGAATGAAATTGAGAAAAAAAATACAAAAGGTCACATAACGAAAAGTTTGTTTTTGTGGAATAAATAAGATTGCTAGACTACTAGCTATATGAATAAAGAAAAAAACAGAGAAGATCCAAATAAACACAATCAGAAATGACATAGGGGACATTATCACTGACCCCATAGAAATACACACACACACACAAAAAAACCCTCAGAGACTATTATGAATACTTCTATAGATGCAAACTAAAAAAGATATAAGAAATATATAATATTCCATTGAAAAATATATTCTCAAGATTGAACCAGGAAGAAACTGAAACCCTGAAGAGATCAATAATAAATATCAAAAATAAATGAGTAGTAAAAAGCCTAACAAGCAGAAAAAGTCCTGGACCAGATTGACTCACAACTGAATTCTACCAGATATATGAACCACAGCTGGTACCATTCCTACAGAAATTGTTCCAAAAAACTGAGGAGAAGGAATTCTAACCTAATTCATTCCAAGAGGCTAGCATCATCTTAACATGAAATGCTGGAAGAGACACAACAAAAAGAGAAGACTTCAGGCCAATAACCTTGATGAACATAGACACAAAAGTCCTCAATAAAATACTAGCAAACCAAATAACAGCACATCAAAAAGCTAATCCACCCTGATCAAGTGGGCTTTACCCTTGAATGCAAGGTTGGTTCAACATAGGCAAATTAATAAATGTGATTCATCACATAAACAAAACTAAAACAAAAAACACATGTTCATCTCAATAGACACGGAAACGGTTTTCAAGAAAATTCAAAATTCCTTCATGTTAAAAACCCTCAACAAACTGGGCATTGAAGCAACATACATCAAAATAATAAGAGCCATCTATGAGAAAACCATAGTCAACATCATATTGAATGGGCAAAAGATGGAAGCGTCTTAGCAAGGGCACTCAGGCAAGAGAAAGAAATAAAGGCATCCAAACAAGAAAAGAGGAGGTAAAGCCATCTCTCTTCACAACTATATGATTTCATACCTTGAGAAATCCATAATTCCTGCTCAATAGCTCCTAAATTTGATTAAAAAACACTTTAGCAAAATTTCAGGACACAAAATCAATGTATAAAACTCAGTAACATTTCTATACACCAGCAATGTCCAAACTGAGTGCCAAATCAAGAACATAATCCCATTCACAATAACCACAAAACAACCACAAAAACACAGGAATACAGCTAACCAGGGAGGTGAAAGATTTCTACAAGCGTTACAAAACCCTGCTCAAAGAAATCAGAGATGATGCAAGCAAAAGGAAAAGCATTCCATGCTCATAGATAGGGAGAATCAATATTGTTAAAATGGTCATACCTTGGGAGGCCGAGGCGGGTGGATCACCTGAGGTCAGGAGTTCGAGACCAGCCTGATGAATATGGTGAAACCCCCTCTCTACTAAAACTATAAAAATTAGGCAGTCATGGTGGTGGCACATGTAGTCCCAGCTACTTGGGAGGGTGAGATAGGATAACTGGTTGAACCCAGGAGGCAGGGGTTGCAGTCAGCCGAGATCATGCCACTGCACTTGGGCAACAGAGTGAGACTCCGCCTCAAAAAAAAAAAAAGCCATAACACCTTATAGCAATTTATAGATTCAATGCTATTCCTAGCAAACTACCAGTGGACAATCTTCACAGAATTTTTTTTAAAAAGTATTTTAAAAGTCATATGGAACCAAAAAAGACATCAAATTGCCAAAGCTATCCTAAGCAAAAAGAAAAAAGCAGCAGGCAACACATAACCCAACTTCAAACTATACTACAAGGCTACAGTAACCAAAACAGCATGGTACTGGAACAAAACAGACACACAGACCAATGCAACAGGATAGAGAACCCAGAAATAAAGCTGCACACCTATAACCATCTCTTCTTTACAAATTGAAAAGAAAAAAAAAGAAGCAATGGAGAAAGGACTTTCTATTCAATAAATGATGCTGGGATAACTGGCTAGCCACAGGCAGAAGAGTGAAACTGGGCCCCTTCCTTACACTATACTATATACACAGTTGGTCATAATATAAATTAGTTCAGCCATTCTTGAAATCAGTTTGGCAATTTATCAAAGAACTTAAAATAGAACAACCATTTAACCTAGCAATCCCATTGTTGAGTATATACTCCCCCAAAATAATTGTTCTACCATAAAAACACATACACTCGTATATTCATCTCAGCACTATTCACAATAGTAAATACATGTAATCAACCTAAATGCCCATAAACGGTAGACTGGATAAATAAAATGAGGTATATAGATACATATATATACCATGGAATTCTATGTAGCCATAAAAAAGAAGGAGATCAAGTCCTTTGCAGCAACATGGATGGAACTAGAGGCCATTATCCTAAGCAAACTAACACAGAAGAGAAAACCAAATACCACAGGTTCTCACTTATAAATGGGAGATAAACATTAAGTACATATGGACTCAAAGAAGGGAAAGATAGACACTAGGGCCTAGTTGAGCAGGGAGGGTGGGAGGAAGGTGGGGATCAAAAAACTACAAATGGGGTACTATGCTTATTACCTGGGTGATTAAATAATCTGTATTACCAACCCTCCATAACACACAATTTACCTATATAACAAACATGTACATATACCCCTAAACCTAAAATGAAAGATTTTAAAAAATAAAATATAATAAAAAGTAACCCCAGAGAGAAATTGTTAGCACAAGTGGTAATATACGAAGGTCAGATAGGAAAATGATATAGAATTATATTCCAAGATAATGGATAACCCAAATACTCCTAAGGGAGAACTGAGTGAAAAGATATGAATCGAAATAATAAGAACCACCTATGGCAAAACCATAGTCAACATCATATTGAATGGGCAAAAGCTGGAAGCATTCCCTTTGAGAACCAGAGCCAGAAAAGGATGCCCACTCCCACCACTCCTATTCAAAATAGTACTGGAATTTGGGAGTTGATCCTGTCTCTTATGAGAGAAAAATTTTAGTTGACCCAACCAACTGTAATGAGATTCTAATTAAGCATAATGAAGCAAATAACAAGTTGAGGATGAACATCCAGATACTAAAATTTGATAACCATGAGAATAGTTGGGGGGCACTGACGGAGGGGTAGGGATGGAATAGGAGTGGAAATATGAAGGGTTCTATCTTTGCGTTGAATACAAGATAGATTTCCTAATGTGTCATCAAGTCTAGATTAGGCCATAGTTGGTAATAGACAACCTAAGACTATATATGGAAACAATTTTGTCCCTGATGTGTTGTATTGCTGTCTTAAAGTTGATATTCAGGTGTAAAAACAGTAAAGAGTAAACAATGCTCCTTCTATACAAAAAATCTAAAGTATAGAAGTGCATAAACAAAATGTTAGCATTCCCTTCTCTATCTCCCAACCATCGCCTCTTTATCCTATACTCTAACATAGGTATGTAATGTAACTATAATATCAATTTTTGAGAGTTTGGTGAACATATTTCTAGGCCTTTTCCTAAGTATATAAATTCCTTCTTGATGAATAAACAACATATTCCTCATATGGAATCAATTCTAACAAACTCAATTCAGAATATAATACTAACACAACTTGAAAACATAATGTTTAGAAATGAAAGGAACTATACAGAATAATCGCAACCTTTCATTTTCCCATTTAAGGTTCCCACAGTTTCTATGGGTAAGGCATTTGGGCAGTTTATCAATGCCATCAGCTCAGGGGCTCACAAAACCAAAATCAAGGTGTTGGCCAGGCCTTGCTCCTTTCTGGAGTTTAGAATTATCTTTTGAGCTCACACGATTGGTGACAAATTCAATCCTTTCAGGTGTAGGAATGAAGTCCCTGTTTTCTTGTTGGCTGTCAGTTGACAGCTGCTCACAAAGTCTAAAGGCCACTCACAGTGCCTCGCCACAGGGCCCTATTATGATATGGCAGCTTACTACTTCAAGGCCAGTAAGAGCGTCTCTCTCACAAGCAATGTCTCAGTCACTCCTTGAAGAGTTTATTAAATCAGGTGCACCTAAGATAATCTCCTTTCTAATTAACTCAAAATCCAGCTGATTTGGGACCTTAATACATCTGCAGAATCTCTTCATCTTGGTCACAAAATTGAATCTAGTCACAGTTATAATATCCCATCACATCCATAGGTCCTCTCATACTCAAAGGGAGGGAATGACAAAAAATGTGGGTCACTGGGAGCCATCTTACAAGTCTTCCCATTACAATCTCAATTCCAAGATGTAACACTTTAGTGGTATCAATTGAAAGCTTGGGTAGTTAAGCTCCTACTTGGTATACTCTGAACATCATAGTATTTGAAGACTGCTAAAACTTCTTCCGGCTTCTTAGCCTGGTAATTTTCACGTGCAAATTGACAATTACCTGCAAGATAAATCCAGCATCTGGGCCTCTCCTGTGCTCCCTACCATGGTCATTGTGTTGTAAAATTTATTTTTATTTAAAAAATATTAACCAGTTTTTCTGGTAGTTCTCATTAAAACGCTAATTTGCAACTGGATAATCCACTGTTATTGGAACCCACAGTCCATTTTTCTGATATGTTATGAGATTTTATTCACAAATAGTTATAACCAATTTACAAGATTTAGTACATCAATAAAAAGTTATCAACTGGTACAAATTGAAAGCAAGTTTTCTTTTAATTAGTTAAATTTGTGATGAATTATTAGAAAACAGATTAAAAATCAGCTTTTAATTTTAATCATCCACTTAATGTAAATTTGATTTACAATACCCCACAACCCCAAGGACATTTAGCAAAAAATTTAATGTATACATCAAACATGCTTTTTAAAACAATCTTCTCTATAAAACAATCAGTAATTCACATAATTTTCTTGATAACTAATCATTAATAAATGCAACTTCCATTTGAAGTCCAATGAGTTTTGGTAATTAAGAATCTCACAGGATTATTCTAATGTAAAATGTCTGTGAAAAAATATATGTTCAGCATAGTTACCACCAGATTTGCACCCTAGAAGTTCTCTTTATCATTAACATCCAAATATGTGGAAGATATTTTGTGTGCCTACTTAATGAATGTACCCATTTTCCTCAAAGTTTTAAACATTAGGAAGATACCTCTGATTGCTTATCATCCATCACAGGGCTACTCATTATATGGTCCTTGTACAGGTAGCATCAGCAACTTGTAGCTAATCCAAAAGGAAAATTCTAAAGCACCCAACTGCTCAATGTACGGAATCAAAATCTCTGACTGTTATACTTAGAAATCTGTGTCGAACCATCTCTCCAGGTGATTCTTATGCACACAAAAGTTAAAGAAACATATACCTAGCTTCTCTTGATAGCAGCAGTTGTTTTTATTTTAACCACAAAAAAAAAATAAATCGAAGTATTTAAGTAACATTTTCCCCTTACTTATATTTGTACGCATCTGGGAATTAGTCAATTTAAGCTGTCCCATCAAGATGAAAAGGGATAATAAACTCGCTGTGTGCTTGGATAAGCCTCTGAGAAAAGAGCAAAGGGCCCAAGCTTGAATGTAGATTCCAGTGTTGTTTCTCATTTCCACATTATGGTTTGGGGCCATAAATTCCAACCACATTGCAAACAACTGAAGAATAAATCAAAGACACTAGAACTTCAGTCTTGCAGATTATGTAGTGAAGAATTTTTTAAGGTATTTAAAAAATATCATAGTGGGCACAGGTTTCCAGGATGCCAAAAATCACACAGAATAAATGCATAAACCTGAAAATAAAATTCGCAACAAATAAAAAATATAATATGAATCAAACTCCCACAACTATAAGTAGAGGAGTATCATCCTTGTAATTACTCTACAAAGTAAGGTAATTATTGCTTGTATATCAATACCAATATAACAGCAATTTCACCAACCAATAATTTTAAATCATTTTCAATATAACCATCATATAAATTTTACATTCAATTAGCTGAAATGACTGAAGACAAAATTCGAAACATATGTAGTAATTACAGAGGTAAAATACAGAAAATCAATTTGAAAAATGAAACATGCACAAAATAAGGTCAATTTTCTGCACAGTGATGGAATTCTAAAGCAACAGATTATATTGAGCCCTTATTAAAAGTTACTAAATTTGCCATACTATCTTTTCTAATTTTAAAGGTATACTTTAGGGATTAAATACTATTTTCTGAGACTACAAGCAATAATTTAGTATGTAAAATGCTGATATCACTGAGTCACTATCTACCTGGTATGTGTATTTGTTTGTTTAGCATTGTGTAAAGATTCATTCTCTTTGCAATCAATAACATATATTTGAAACATAACTGTGCCAAAATTATGTTTCTCACCAATAGAAAAGTTTAATACCCTACCACTTCAAAGATCAGAGGTAACAGAGTAATGGCAAATCAATTTTTGTGACACTAGTGGCATCAGAAATGAGAACTGATCTATGGTACGACTGAGATACTAGCTGTCGATCAAAACACTAAGAGATCAATCTACAATATGTAGTAAGAAAGGCTGACTCATATTCATTTTAAGTTCCATGTTCTGTCAGAAATGAATCTCTCCTTCAATGTATTAAATTTAGCACTGGCTGGGTGCGGTGGCTCACATCTGTAATCCCAGCACTTTGGGAGGCCGAAGCAGGCAGATCATGAGGTCAAGAGAACAAGACCATCCTGGCTAACATGGTGAAACCCCCTCTCTACTAAAAATACAAAAATTAGCTGGGCGTGGCGATGCATGCCTGTAGTCCCAGCTACTTGGGAGGTTTAGGCAGGAGGATCGCTTGAACCTGGGAGGTGGAGGTTGCAGTGAGCTGAGATCACACCACTGCACTCCAGCCTGGAGACAGAGCAAGACTCCGTCTCAAAAAAAACAAAAAAAAATTAAAGGAAATTAAACACTTTATCTGGATATTCTATAGCAAAGTAATAACAATTAGTAATAATTCTATGGAGAAAAATTAAATGTATTAGAATTAGTCTATAATTAGAATTAGTCTATAATTCATTAAAGGTCTAATGAAAGGTATTAGTATTAGTCCTTTAATTAGAAAAATTAAAGGTATGTATTAGTCTGTTTTTTCATTGCTATAAAAAATTATCTGAGACTGGGTAATTTATAAAGAAAAGTTTAATTGGCTCAGGGTTCTACAGGCTGTACAGGAAGTATAGTGGTTTCTGCTTCTGGGGAGGCCTCAGGAAACTTACAATAATGGTGGAAGGTGAAGAGGAAGCAGGCACATCTTACATGGTCACAGAAGGAGGAAGAGGAGGGGGAAGGTGCTACACACTTTTAAACAACCAGATCTCACAATTCGCCCACTCACTATCATGAAAACAGCATCGAGAGATATTGCTAAACCATTCATGAGAAACCTCCCCTATGATCCAATCACCTGCCACCAGGCCCAATCTCCAACATTGGGGATTACAAGAACATGAGATTTGGGTAAGGACACAGAGACAAACCACATCAGTAGGCAACAAGACTTTGTATTCAACAATACTTAAAAGAAAATTAAGAGGAGTGACATCAGCAAGAGAGCAGGATAGAAGATCCCTCAGCATTACTCCCCTCAACAAAAGTACACCTAGAAAGTATTCAAAGGCAAGAATGCCACCTTGAGTTCACAAGAACTTGGAAAAGAAGCACAAAAATACCCTGAGCCACAAAAATGACAGAAGCCACAGCTGGTAAACGCCCACGTCTCCCAAGCAGGCATAACACCACTCTCAGAGAATTTCCTTAGACTCACAGTTTCTTGGGAAGAAATAAAGGTGGATGTTTAATCTCCTCACCAGTCTGGGAATCTTCATGGGGGGCCAAACTGATTTCATTCCACAGGAAGCAATGGGAGGGCCAACAGGGCTCAATGATGTGGGGTAAATTGGAAAGAAGACTGGGGACACTGATTGCAGTGACAAGCATGAAAATCTTGGTATCTGCTCTGTTTTCCTATCAGTTGGGAAGCCATGCTGAGAATGCTGCCTGGTATCTTGGTGCTAAAGGGAGCCTAGTATATGTGAAGGCCCAAAACCCTGGCTGGGTTCCTCACAAAGCCTAAGTATTTGTGTCAAGAATCCCCTAACTTGCAAAACCTAAAAGGTTACCAATTAAATTCTGATGTGTGCTTAAGTTTTCTTCAGACTGCAATAAGTCATCCTCAGCATGGGAAACAGCAGAAGGGCAGTGAGTAAGTTCTGGTGCCATATTTTAGTTCTGATGCTCACTATAAGGTCTCCCTAGAATTCGAAGCAACAAACGGGCCCATGATTAAACTCTGGTAACAATTGGTAAAAGTCTAAAACCACCAAAGAACAACTGCAATAGATGGAAGAGGTGGCTATTTCAGCAAATGCACAGGAATGAATATGAAGACACAAGGGAAAATCAGGAAAACATGACTTCACCAAAAGAATTAACAAAGCTCCAGTAATGGAGCCAGAAGAATTAAAGATCTATAACATATCTAACAAAGAATTCAGAATAATACTCAAAGAAATGCAGAGAATCACAAGAAAATATGTATAGAAAATTAAGAAAAACAACCTAGGAATAAAAGCAGAAATTTGACAAAAGCAATAAAAAATAGAAATTTTATATTATAGATACAATAAATGAATTAAAAACCTCACCAGAAATCTTCAACAGCAGACTTGACCAAAAGAGAAGAGAATCAGTGAGCTTGAAGACAGAACACACAAATTTATCCAATGAGAAGAGGAAAAGAAAGACCAAGAAAGAGTGAAAAAGGCCTACAAGCATTATGAAACACCATAAAGGGAATAAACCTTTCTATTACTGAAGGAGACAAAAGAAAAAAACAGCCTAGAAAGATTATTTAAGACAATAATGGCTGAAAACTTTCCAAATATGGAGAATAACAACAACATCCAGGTATAGAAAGCTCAGAAGTCAACAATTAAATTCAATCCAAAGAGGAATTCACCAAGGCACATCATAATTAAATTATTAAAAATTGAAGACAAAGAATACTGAAAGCAGCAAGAGAAAAGAAGTATACCAAATACAACAGAGCCCCAATAGAGCTTCCAGCAGATTTTTCAGCAGAAACCCTACCTTCCAAGAAAGACTGGGATAATATTTTAGAAGTGCTAGAACAAAACACACACACAAAAAAACCTTTCAACAAAGAATATTATACCCAGAAAAGCTATCCTTCAAACATGAAGGGGAATGATTTTACCAGAAAAACAAAAGCTAAGGAAATACATAACTAACAGACAAGTCTTTGAATAAATGCTAAAAGGAGTCCTTCCATTTGAAAGGAAAACATTCTAACATGTATCAAAACAACATCTGAAAGTATAAAACTCTGTGGTAAAAGCATACAAATTAAGAATACACCAATACTGTAATTGTGGCCTGTAAACCACTACTATCATTAGTATGAAGACTAAAACAAAAATTATTAATTATAATAGCTACCATAATTGTTTAAGAGATATATAATATAAAATTATGTAAATTGAAACATCAAAAAGTAAAAGTGTGGAGGGATGGTGTTTGAACTGTAGATTGCGTTTCAGTTTCTTCTCTTTGCAATTAAAGTTAAGATGGTATCAGCTTAAAATGACCTGTTATAACTATATAATTTTTTTGTAAGCTTCATGATAACCACAGAGCAAAAACTTATAATAGATGCATTAAAAATAATACAGAATCAAGATGTGCTAATAAAGATAATCATTTAACCACAAAGATAGTAAGGATCAAAAAAAGAACAACAGAAAATGAGTAAAAATATATCAGTAATAAACCCTTACCTATCAACAATAACTTTGAATATAAATGAATTAAATTGTCCAATTAAAAGACAGAGTGACTATATAACATTTTTTAAAAAGGTGCAAATAAATGATGCCTGCAAGAAATCTACTTCACCTTTAAAGATGCACAAAGATAGAAACTGAAGTGACACAAAAAGATATTCCACACAAACTGAAACTAAAAAAAGAGTGTAAGTAGCTATATGTGTTTCAGATAAAATTTAAGAGAGGAATGACAACAATATCAAACTTAAGCCATTATATAATAATAAAGGCATCCATACAGCAAGAAAATATAGCAATTGTAAACATGTATGCATCCTACACCAGAGCACCCAAATATATACAGCAAATACACATAGACCTAAAGGGAGAGATTGGTTGCAATATAATAATAGTAGGAGATGTCAACTCCCCATTTTCAGCAATGTAAAGATCATTCAGGTAGAAAATCAACAAAGAAACACTGCAGTTAAACTGTGCTGTTTTCCAAATTGACTTAACAGACATTTACAGAATATTCAATCCATCAGCTATAAAACATACATTCTTCTTAACAGCACATGGAACATTCTCCAGTATAGACCATACTTTAGGTCACAGAACAAGTCTTAACAATTTTTTTAAAAAGCTAAAATCATATCCATTATATTTTCTCACGACAGTAGAATAAAACCAGGAATAAATGACAAAAGGAATGTTAGAAACTCTAATACGTAGACATTTGACAACATGAATGAATCAATGAAGAATTATTTTTAGTGTAAAAATTCTTTGAGACCAATGAAAATGGAAACACAACATACCAAAACCTATGAGATACAGCAAAAATAGTTCTATGAGAAAATTTTAGAGCAACATAATTCTACATCAAAAAAGAAGAAAGGTTTCAAATAAACAACCTAATGTTATAGCTCAAGACAAAGGAAAAAGAACAAAGTACGCCCAAAATTAGTAGAAGGGAAGAAATAACAAATATCAGAGCAGAAATAAATGAGATAGAAATAAAAACGTATAAGAGACCGATGAACAGTGTTATTTTTTGAAAATACGAACAGATACAATTTTAGCTAGACTAAAAACAAAGAGTAAAAACTCAACTAAATAAAATCAGAGATGAAAAAGAAGGTACTATAACCAATACACATAATTATAATAGATACTTATGAACAACTATATACCAACGAATTGGAAAATTTAGAAGAAATGGGTAAATTCCTGGACAAATACAACCTTTCTCTTGCCTAACTGCTACCAAGATCAAATCATGAAGTAATGGAAGATCTGAGCCAATTAATAACAAATAACAAGATTGGGGCAGTCTGAAAGACTCTCCTATCAAAGACAAGCCCAGGACCTAATGGCTTCAGGTTTGAATTCTAACAAACATTTAAAAAAAAGAACTAATACCAATTCTTCTCAAACTCACGCAAAAACTTTAAAAGGAGGGAATATTTTCAAACTCATTCTACAAGGTCATCACTACCCTGATACCAAAACCAGACAAGAACACAACAACAAAACAAACTACAGGCCAGTATCACTAATAAACATAAATGCAAAAATCCTCAACAAAATACTGGCAAACCAGAATCGACAATATATTATAAAGAATATACTCCACGATTAAGTGGGATTCATCCCAGGGATGAAAGGATGGTTCATCATACACAAAGAAATAAACTTTATAAATCACATTAACAAAATCAAGGACAGAAGAATCATACATGTGTTACAATACATTCAGAAAAATCAAACATCAAAATTCAACATCCCCTCATAATAAAAATTCTCAATGAATTAGGCATAGAAATACCATACTTCAAAACATAAGGGCCTTATATGATAAACCCACAGCTAATAACATACTGAATAGGGAAAAGTTTATAGTTTTTCCTCTAAGATCTGGAACAAGACAAAGGTGCCCACTTTCACCACTTTTGGTTAACATACTATTGGGAGTCTTAGCCACAGCAATTTGGCCAGAGAAAGAAATAAATGACATTCAAATTGGAAAAAAAAAAAAAAAGGAAGTTCATATGGTTGTAGATGTGTCATGTTATTTCTGAGGCCTCTGTTCTGTTCCATTGGTCTATATATCTGTTTTGGTACCAGTGCCATGCTGTTTTACTTACTGTAAACTTGTAGTATAGTTTGAAGTCAAGTGGCATGATGCCTCCAGCTTTGTTCTTTTTGCTTAGGATTGTCTTGGCTATGCGGGCTCTTTTTTGGTGCCACATGAAATTTAAAGTAGTTTTTTCTAATTCCGTGAAGAAAGTCAATGGTAGCTTGATGGGGATAGCATGATTCTATAAATTACTTTGGGCAGTTTGGCCATTTTCACAATATTGATTCTTCCTATCCATGAGCATGGAATGATTTTCCATTTGTCTGTGTTAAGGGTTCCCTATTTAATAAATGGTGTTGGGAAAACTGGCTAACCATATGCAGAAAACTGAAACTGGACCCTTCCCTCACACCTTATAAAAAATTAACTCAAGATGGAGTACAGACTTAAACATAAGACCTAAAACCATAAAAACCCTAGAAGAAACCCTAGGCAATACCATTCAGGACATAGGCATGGGCAAAGATTTCATGACTAAAACACCAAAAGCAATGGCAACAAAAGCCAAAATTGACAAATGGGATCTAATTAAAGAGCTTCTACACAGCAAAAGAAACTATCAACAGAGTGAACAGGCAACCTACAGAATGGGTAAACATTTTTGCAATCTATCCATCTGGCAAAGGGCTAATCTCCATAATCTATAAAGATCTTAAACAAATTTACAAGAATAAAACAAACAATTCTATCAAAAAAGTGGGCGAAGGATATGAACAGACACTTCTCAAAAGAAGACCTTTATGCTGTCAACAAACATATGAAAAAAAGCTCATTATCACTGGTCATCAGAGAAATGCAAATCAAAACCACAATAAGATACCATCTCATGCCAGTTAGAATGGTGATCATTAAAGGTCAGGAAACAACAGATGCTAGAAAGGATGTGGAGAAATAGGAACACTTTTACACTATTGGTGGGACTGTAAATTACTTCAACCATTGTGGAAGACAGTGTGGCGATTCCTCAAGGATCTGGAACCAAAAATACCATTTGACCCAGCAATCCCATTACTAGATATATACCCAAAAGATTATAAATCATTCTACTATAAAGACACATGCACACATATGTTTATTGAGACACTGTTCACAATAGCAAAGACTTAGAACCAACCCAAATGCCCATCAATGATAGACCTGATAAAGAAAATGTGGCACATATACACCATGGAATACTATGCAGACATAAAAAAGGATGAGTTCATGCCCTTTGCAGGGACATGGATGAAGCTGGAAACCATCATTCTCAGCAAACTAACACAAGAAAAGAAAACCAAACACCACATGTTCTCACAAATAAGTGGGAGTTGAACAATGAGAACACATGGACACAGGGAGGGGAACACCACACACCAGGGTCTGTCGGGGGCTCGGGGGCTAGGGAAGGGATAGCATTAGGAGAAGCACCTAATGTAGATGACAGGTTGATGGGTGCAGCAACCCACCATGGTACATGTATACCTATGTTACAAATCTGCACGTTCTGCATATGTATCCCAGAACTTAAAGTATAGTTTAAAAAAATTTTAAAAAGGAACTTAAATTGTCCCTGTTTGCAGATGACATAATTATATGTGTAGAAAATACTAAAAATACCACCACAAAACTGTTAGAACTAGTAAGTGAAATCAGTAAAGTTGCAGGGTACAAAATAAACACAGAAAATCTAGAAGCATTTTTTCTAAGGCAATAGCAAACTATGTAAAAAAGAAATCAAGAAAGTTACCCCATTTATAATAGCCAAAAATATCCCCCTAAGAATAAAGTCAATCAAGGGGGTAAAGGATCACTACAACAAAAACTATAAAACAGTAATGAAAAAATGCTAATGAAAAAATGAAGCAGACACAAATAAAAAGATATTACATATTTATAGATTGGAAGACTTAATATTATTAAAATGTCCATATTATCCAAGGTGATATATAATTTCAATGCAATCTTTATCAAAACACCAATGGCATTCATTCAAAAAATAGAAAAAGCAATCCTAAAGTTGTATGGAACCACAAAAGACCCAGAATAGTCAAAGGAATCTTGAGCAAAAAAACAAGGATGGAGGTATCCAATTACCTGATTTCAAAATATACCACAAACCCACAGTAACCAAAACAGCATGGTACTGACATAAAAACAGACACAAAGACCAACAGAACAGAATAGAGAAGCCAGAAACAAATCCATGCATCTCAGTAAACTGTCTTTTTACAAAGGTGCTGAGAACACACATTGGAGAAAGGACAGTCCATTCAATTAAAGAAAATTGGTCCCAGGAAAACTAGATATCCACACGTAGAAGAATGAAATTGGACCCTATCTCACATATACAAAAATGAACTCAAAATGGATTAAAGACTCAAATATAAGACCTGTAACTACAAAACTATTACAAAAAAGCATAGGGGAAACACTTCACAAAATTGATTCAAGAAGAATTTTTCAGATAGATCCTGAAAAGCACAGGCAATAAAAGAAAAATGGGCAGATGAAATTATGTAAAACTAAGAAACTTCTGCAAAGCAAACAGTCAACATACTGAAGTTACAGCCTACATAATGAGAGACAATATTTGCAAACTATGCATCTGACAAGGGGTTAACATCCAGAATATATGAAGAACTCACACAATTCAATAGCAAAAAAGAAATCCCATCCAAAAATGGGCAAAGGGCATGAATAGACATTTATCAAAAGAAGACATGCAAATGACCAGTAGATATAGGATAAAAACGCTTAACAACACTCATCATCAAAAGAAATGCAAATAAAAACCATAATAAGATATCACCTTATCCCAGTTAGAATAGCTATTATCAAAAATACAAAAGATAACAAATGTTGGCAAGGGTGTGGAGAAAGAAGAACTCTTATACACTGTTAGTTAGAATATAAAATAGTACATCCATTATAGAAAAATAGTATAGAAGTTCCTCAAAAAATTAAACATGGAACTACTATATGATTCAGCAATTTCATTACTGGGTATTTATCCAAAGAAAATGAAATCAGTATGCTGAAGAGATAACTGCATTCTCATGTTTATTGCAGCACTGGTCACAACAGTCAAGAGATGGAAGCAATTTAAGCATCCATCAACCAATGAATGGATAAAGAAAATGTGGTATTTACACACTGGAATGCTATTCGGCTATTAAAACCAGAAGGAAATCCTGTCATTTGTGGCAACACAGATAAATCTAGAGGATAAAATGTCAAGTGAAATAAGCCAGGTACGGAAAGGCAAATACTGCAAGATTTCACTAATAGATGAAATTTCTAAAAGTTGATCTCATAGAAGTGGAGAGTTGAATAGTGTTTAGGTAGAGGCTGAAGAGGTAAGGGAGAAGGTGGGAGTGGTAGGGTAGAGGTTGGTTTATCAAAGTTACAGTTAGAGAGGAAGAATAAGTTCTGATGTTCTATCACATAATAGGGTAACTTTAGCTAATAGCAATGTATTGCATATTTCAAGGTAGCTAGACAAAAAATCTTGAAAGTTACCACCACGGAGAAATGATCAAGGATTGAGGGATAGACATTGAGGGATAGATCAAAACTACACTGATTTGATCATCATGCAATGTATACATGTATTGAAACAACACACTGTACCCTATAAACATGTAAAATTATGTGCCAAATATAAACAAAAACTTTTAAAAAGAAAATTTAAATGATAGTTATGAAATAACTGAGAATATCTTTAAGTTGCCCCTGAGCTCCTGAGAGAAATGACAATGTCTAATTCTTATTAATTTACATACAACCCTTCTTTGGTTCCAAAATGAACAGGCAGTGGTATTTATTTTTATGTATAACACAGCACTGAGTGTAGAAAATTAAACATAAAATAAATGTTTTAATTAAAATGAACTGAGAGTTCAATTTTATTTATTAAATAGGCAAATCAAAGGCGTTGATTTTATGCATTTTAAACAAGTTATCAATATGTGGGTTTTACATTAAATACAAAAAAGCTGAAAACACGGAAAGTATTTAATATAGATATGCAAATGTTTATAACTAAACTATATTAGATGAGATCTAATCTAATTAATTGTTTCTTAGTTGTATTATTTCTTAGATGAAATCATCTAAGAAAGCTTAAATCTTTAATAAAATGGTGATATATATTTCTCAATAAGATAAAAAATATTGTCATGGATATTCTTACATTAGTATAGACACTTAAATTATTTGCATATACAGAAATTGTTGATCAACTCTAAAATAGTTTAGTTATAGGATCTAACTAAACTAAAAAGCTTCTGCACAGCAAAAGAAACTACCATCGGAGTGAACAGGCAACCTACAGAATGGGAGAAAATTTTTGCAATCTACTCATCTGAAAAAAAGCTAGTATCCAGAATCTATGAAGAACTCAAACAAATTTACAAGAAAAAAACAAAACAACCCCATCAACAAGTGGGCGAAGGATATGAACAGACGCTTCTCAAAAGAAGACATTTATGCAGCCAACAGACACATCAAAAAATGCTCATCATCACTGGCCATCAGAGAAATGCAAATCAAAACCACAATGAGATACCATCTTACACCAGTTAGAATGGCGATCATTAAAAAGTCAGGAAACAACAGGTGCTGGAGAGGATGTGGAAGAATAGGAACACTTTTACACTTTTGGTGGGACTGTAAACTAGTTCAACCATTGTGGAAGACAGTGTGGCGATTCCTCAAGGATCTAGAACAAGAAATACCATTTCACCCAGCCATCCCATTACTGGGTATACACCCAAAGGATTATAAATCGTGCTGCTATAAGAAGATGTGCACACGTATGTTTATTGCAGCACTATTCACAATAGCAAAGACTTGGAACCAACCCAAATGTCCATCAATGATAGGCTGGATTAAGAAAATGTGGCACATATATGCCATGGAATACTATGCAGGCATAAAAAAGGATGAGTTCATATCCTTCATAGGGACTTAGATGAAGCTGGAAACCATCATTCTCAGCAAACTATCGCAAGGACAAAAAAACCAAACACTGCATGTTCTCACTCATAGGTGAGAATTGAACAATGAGAACACTTGGACACAGGAAGGGGAACATCACACACTGGGGCCTGTCATGGGGTGGGGTGAGTGGGGAGAGATAGCATTAGGAGTTATACCTAATGGAAATGATGAGTTAATGGGTGCAGCACACCAACATGGCATATGTATACATATGTAACAAACCTGCATGTTGTACACATGTACTCTAGAACTTAAAGTATAATAATAACAAAAAAAAGAAAACAATTAAGTGTTCTGTTGAATATACAAGAGTTAATTCAAAAGAAAAACGATCTAAGTACTTGAAGCATGATCATGGTTGCACAGGGGGTTTACCTACATTTTTTGAAAAGTAAAAGAATAAAAGTCATTACCACCAAAATTTGGCATCCTTTTGCAAATCATCTAATATGTCAAGAAGAATTTAGCTTAATTTATCTTTTTTTTTTTTTTTTTTGAGATGGAGTCTTGCTCTGTCGCCCAGGCTGAAGTACAGTGGCACGATCTCGGCTCAATGCAAGCTTCGCCTCCCAAGTTCACACATTCTCCTGCCTCAGCCTCCCGAGTAGCTGAGACTACAGGCGCCCGCCACTATGCCCGGCTAATTTTTTTTGTATTTTTAGTACAGACAGGGTTTCACCATGTTAGCCAGGATGGTCTCGATCTCCTGACCTCGTGATCTGCCCGCCTCGGCTTCCCAAAGTGCTGGGATTACAGGTGTGAGCCACTGTGCCCGGCCAAATTTATCATATTAATAATGCTTTCTACTATGAATGTTGGAAGAAATCATTTTTTAATTCAGTATATTATTCTAAATACTACTACTACTTTATTCCACTTTATTCAATAAATTTACAATCACTTTATTTGTACACATCTATTCAGAATGAACTTGATATTTAATTTATAGTAAATATCTAAAGTTGTCAAATATAGCACATAAAAACTTAATATATACAATAGTTGTAAATGGTGTTAATCTTGATAATTTTCTGTGATTTATAAATTGACTTCACATACTTGGTAAAAATATAAAATATATTAGTCGTAAATATATCATCTTCTGAATTTATTAATATTCCTTCATAAAGAACAGCTTGAACTAACCTTTCCTAATCAAATAAATGCTTCCCCAGAGTCTATCATGTCTAATTTCACAGTATATTTTCTATTAAAGTAAATATTTGTAGGATTTTAAAGTTTTAATGATGAAAGAAAATTGGGTATTAGATATAAGATGTCCAAATAAAATGAATATTAGTTTACTTCTATAAGCATCAATAAAAATAATTTGCCTAATAGGCAAGGGTGATGAGGCAGCACTTAGAGCAGATCGACTTTTTCACTGTTAGTGCTGCCATTGGTTTTCTGCTTTTTTGTTCCACTTTATTTTCTAAATTTTTTTTTAAAAAGTATCATGGTATTGTTTTCACAGACTAAAGTTATAACCCATGACAATATATTGCAAATGCAATTTGTTGTTTAGAAATTACTAGAAGGGGATACACTTATTCCAGAATGACTTACCTTTATTAGGGAATCAGCTTCATGAATCTAGATGCCCAGAAGCAAGTTATACAATCAGATCATTCAGTGTTCAGGTTGAACTTTGTTCATACATGTATTTTTCAATGAATTATATGTAAAATGAAAAATTTAGCATTAAATTACTCGGTCCTGTTCCATTTTAGGTCCAGATATGTTTCCTATACAGTAAAGTGCCAACATGCATTATAAATAGCATTAAAGATTCCTAACATTCACTTTTATTTTATTTTCATCAAAGCACAGTTTGTATCTGAACTTCTCCCTTAGAAATTAGTTAAATGAACAAGCATATATAATCTTAGCACACTAATTATAAACATGCATATGATACATTAAAACACACAACTATTAATTACCATTGCATTTCTAATTCTTTTACTTCACAATACTGAAATATTTAAATCAACATAGTGGTTGCTGTTTTTCTAGTTATTTGAAGAACTTACGGATTGAAAACATAACATAAAAACATAACAATGGTAAGTCACTATATTATAAAGCCCTAGGACAAAATTATCAGATATTATTATTTCCCTGAAAGGTTTATTTCCCCTTTAAAAGGGTAACAATTATCAGATTAATGTTTCATTTTCATGATCCACTCTCCCATGATTTCAAACACATTGTTGACACCAGCAGCAGCCTTTTCACATTATTTATTTCTCTCTTTGGCATTAAGTACAAGCTTGTCCTTAGTAAAATAGGAGTGATCATCAGATGATGATGACCTTCAACACCCTGATCCAAAACAACAGCCCAGTAACACTGATAATATTATTTCCCCCTTTTAAGTAAGTATAAATAGATGTTAAAAAAATTAAACAATTTCTTGATGGTGACACAACCAGTAATGGCAGAAATGAGAATTAAATATAGTCAAGCCTATCCCCTTTAACCATTTCATACTATTGTCCCTGTTTAACAAAATACAGTGTAATTATTTGCTTGGATGTCTATATTTACCACTAGTTAATAAGCCCCTCACTACCATACCTACACTAAGTTCATTCTTTTCTTGTAAAGTGGCCAAAGAGTGTTCTAATGATGGTTCATTATATATTTTTAAGAATCAAGGCCTAATCCCTAAAGAAGACATGTTGTATATCCTCCTGCCCATACACTCCTCCTTCACTGGAACCTCTGGACAGTGTTTACTCTTTTCTCTTCCAAATCTTGCTTCCACCCTCCAGCGCAGCCTCACATCTCATAATATATCTGACTCGGACTGAATTTCCAGATTCCTTGTCCCTCACTCCAGCTGTCTATTCAGGCTTATCTTCAGGTCCCTGAATCCTCAATCCTTCGATTTGACCAGGTGTCAGCTCATTCTCACGTTTTTTGCTCCATCACAATCTAGCCCTGCCCAGCCAGTGCTTTATTGGAATGTGTTAAACAGTATTCCAAACATTATGAGTGAATTATTATGTTCTTCTCCCAGTTAGGCTTCAATTTCTTTGAAATCTATGCAATGCTGTGTTCTGGTGGAGAAGGTTTTGCTGAGTGAAATGCTAAGGGTGATTTTGTATAAAGCTGCCCAGCTTCTCTTTGCTCTACTTCCCAAAGGTCAGTTGAACATATGTCCCCAGAGATTTGGAAGTTACTGCATGAGAGTTTCATCAGAACCATGGGCACCCATCCCAAATGAAAGTCAATTTGCTAGCTTCAGTTGTTTTCTTCTTCCTAGAGAGTACTTAAGCTGTAGGCTAATAGCTAATTTTGTGTTTCAATCTGCTTCTCAAATGTTGAAACAACAGCTATCACCATTTGTACACCAATTTTCTAAAATATTCATCTGAACTAGTTCACATTTGCAGAAGAAAGTTTTTAGTTTTGCTTTGTAAGCTGTATGGCTAGGAAAGTGCACATTAAACTATTCATTTAGACTTGTTGCTAACACTGCTTTGGGATATTTATCATTCCATATTCTCAAACCTACTCTTTTGTTTTATTTTCAAAGTCACAGAGCCCCACTCAATGTAATGAATGTTATGCCAGACTCTGAAACACATTCTCAAAATACGACTCAAAGAGCGTAATTCCCTTGTAACAAGGATTTCTAAACTTTATCATTCTCCAATGACTTATTTTCATTTCTGCATTAAATGTGTAAAGACTTTATTCTAAAAAACTGAAAGTGCATATTAGTTACTCACTTATTTTTTACAAGTAGACCTTATACCACAGACACAGGATGCTAACATTGGCAATCCACATAATTAAGTGTGGGAAAGTCTTCTAAATACAAATTATAACACAAAGAACACACCATTGGCAAATATATCTTCTCTGTTGGTCTTCTGCGACAACTTGTCACCTTTCTTACATCTTTTTCTCTTCCTCATCATTTTTAAAATGATAGCTGCCTGACTCAGAATGCCAACACTACCATCTACTAATTGTCTGATTTTGAGCAAGTTATTTAATTTTTTCAGGCCTTAATTTTTCACATCTGATGAACAGAAATGAAAAAAAGCACCAGTCTACAGAAAGATTAAATGAAAGAATACTAATACTATATAGAACTATTTTTCATAAGCTGCCTCCAATAAATGCTACTTATGTTACTCTATGACTCCTCTGGGATAAGAAAAATTACTTCGATATGTTGTTCTATTTCAACCAACATATTGTCATATGTTGTTGATCCTTTTTTGTTTTGTTTTATCTCTGAAGGTAAATAGCATCCATTTCATACTGGAGTTAATTCTATTGTCTTCTGACAAATTTATTTACCTCTGGACTTTTCTATACCCAAAACACCATGCATTCTGAGATCATATCAACATGCCTTAAAACATCATTTCAATCAATATCTTTCACTTCCTAGCATTTCCAACTAAATCCCTGACATATGAGAGCAGGAAAAGGAACGTGCATATTTGACTGCTGTAGTATTTTGTAGTGTGCATAAATATGGCAAATGCTCAACAGTTATCTGTGATATTCACTTTCTCCCTGGAATTGCCCTGTGCCTTGCTACACCCATATACCTTTCCTTACGTAATCCACCTTGCCAAGAGTACTCTTCCACATTTTTGCAGATATCTAAATTCTGCCTTTAAGTTAGCTTCAAAGACGAAGTACTCTTCATTTAATCTCCAGGATTCCTTGCACACAAACCCAAAAGAGGAAAATTATATTGGTTGGCTTTTATCAACGTATTTAGACCACATATATATCATGATTGGTGCCTTAAAGGAGGGAATATAGATAATTAATCAGGCAAACTAAGAACTTTCCACTCTCTCTTAATTTTTGGCCTTAAAGGATGTGGCCTTTTCAAGCAGTAGAGGGATATGATTTTAGATTTAGGTTTATACTTAAGAGTTTGAAACATATACAATGCAGATCTATGACCGTATGTTGATTCTAGATTATATAGGCCAAAAAATAAGTTAATGCATGTTTAACAAGATTAAATCTAGCTGCATAAAGTATTGCTTTACTCAATTTTATATCATTTTGTATTAATTCTTTAGAAATGTCCTTGAAATGTTTGACTAGGAGAGGATACAGGCATTCTTAAGGCACTGGAAAAATGTAACAGTAATATGTAACTTTACTCCTTAATTGCACCTCTATCTATTATTACAAGCATGTGGCATGGCTGAGATTAACAAAATTTGACATAAATTATCCCACTTTTAAGGTTCAATTTAAATTCAACATGATGAACCTCAAAAAGAGAAGGAATTCTCCATTTTTACTACCATCTCTGGCATTTACTGTTTACTTGGCTCAATTTATTTCCTGAGTTATGCAAAAAAATCATACTTTAGTCACCTGAACTTAATATAAATAAATACTCCAAAGACTTAAAAATATGTCACTTTTATTACGTATTTAGATCCTCATCATCCTCTTAAATTTTCACCAAGGGTTTAGATAGATGCATATTACTCAAGAGGGCTACCAATGCCCTTGCTTCTGACAACTGTATAACATCAGCTACTTATAATCACCGTCAATGCTTTATTCCAATGTTGCCCATATTTTAAAACTTATGGTCCATGATCAACCTATGTGCCCATCAAAAGATAAATGGATAAGGAAAGTGCAGTGTATATACACAATGGAATACTATTCAGCCTCAAAAAAAGGATATTTTACCATTTTTTATAATGTGGATTAACCTGGAGGACATTATGTTAAGTGACATAAGCGAGGCACAAAAAGACAAAGACTGCATTGTTTCACTTACATGGAGAATCCAAAAAAGGTGAACTCATGGAAGTAGAAAGTAGAATGGTGGTTACTAGCGGCTGGGCAGGTGGCAGCAGGTGAGAGGGAATGAAAAGTTGTTGAGCAAAGGATACAAAGTTTCTGACAAGAAGAATAAGTTTTAGATCTATTGTACAGCAGGATGACTATAGTCAATGACAACGTACAGTATATTGCAAGATAACCAGGTGAGTAAATTACAAATGTTTTACCATAAAACATGATAGGTAAAAGAGGCAATGAATATGTTAATTAACTTGATTTAATCATTCTAAATTGTATATGTGTGTGTGTGTGTGTGTGTGTGTGTATATATATATATATATGTCACCTCCTACCCTCAAATGTATACAATTATTTGTCAAAACAATATTAATTTAAAAATAGTTTTTAAAACATTCTGTTCTATGGTGCTCTTCTCCCCCGAATACTTATGGGATTAATCCTAACTGTAGGAATAGTTTCAGACCTTTTAATATTGCAACTATTTTTATTTGATCAATACTATTAATTTAGTACTGTTGCAAATAATGCAATAGTTTTGGTCAGAAAACTAAATAAATGATTTCATAGCATCCTTCTCTGCAAAGATGCTTGAAGTCAATTATCTCCCAACTCAGGGTGAGTTATCATCCTATCTAGTGCCATGCCCAGGAAGTTAAAGGGCAAACTATCTTCCTTTTTTTGTCTATGTGGTCAAGTCTTTGAGGTCAATTGTCAGCACCTAATTTTGTAGTATGATTCCTCCAAAGACGCCTTAGACTAATATAATCCCTAGCTTCTTGCTCTTTCATAAGTTAATATGCCCAAATTCATTACAATAAACATAAGACTAGGCTTTACTATGGGAACATTTAACATGTGTATACATATTTAATCTCTCCCATTGAAGCGTGAGATCATTCAATACAATGATTGAGTCTAATAATATTTATCTACTTTGTATCTAAAGAGGTACCTTCTTGCTTAACAGTTGTCTTGTTTCCAAGATAGAGGCAGTAAAGGCCCCTCTCCCTTAAGCCCAGACTAGAATTTAACCACCTAGATGAATTATGAGGCTCTCAAATCCAACAGACAACAACGAACTTGAGTTTCACAAGAACCCTATCTCTTTTTACTCCCAGCCAATTCTTCTTCCCACAGACTTGCCCGATTTTATTTAAATGAAATCAGCATTTAAACATTTGCTTAGGCCAGAGATCCGGCTCTCATCCTGATTCTTCCTACTCCTTTATCCTTTAGATCCAATCTAATACCAAGACATATTATTGTGTGTATAAATGGATATCAACTCTAGGCATTCGAATCCCTTGCTCCTAAGTTCAAACCACCTTCCTCTCTTCTCTTTGGACTACTGTGATACCCTGTTTACTGGCTCTTACGCTTCTCTTATTTCCCTCCAAACTAACTGCCAAACAACATCCAGAAGGAAAAATTTTAAAATGTGTATCTGATTATATTATTTCTTCTCATTCCCTTCCTCTATCGTTAATATTTTTTAGTGGCTTCCCACTGTACTTCAGATGAAATACAAGTTTTACCAGGACATAGAAGATCCTGCACGAGCAGCCTTTTGCCCAGCTTTTCATAGTTCTCTCTTATAATTCTCCCCTTCATCCACTTTGTTACACCCAATATGACTCATTTCCGTAGGCATTCTGAGCCCTTTCAGAGGCTTTCAACAAACAAAGGCTGTTTTGCTAGTTAAAGCACTAGTACAGAAAAGAGTCTTCTATTGTGACATGAAAATCTTGTCACGGTGATCGGGATAAACTTGGGCTAAAAGGATTTGAGGGCAGGGGATTAAAAAATAACTACTCAAAGCAACTTTACAATTGTGAAGTCCATAAATTCGAATTGAGAAACTGCTGCCAAAATCATGACTCCAGGTAGTGATTTTCAAAAGCATAACTATCAAATCCCAGTATCAATATTGCGGATGTGTATTATATGACCAAGTATACTGTTGTAATCCTAGCACTTATTGATTACTGTGTGATATCTGACTTACCCAGGAATATCTCATTTAGAACAATACCTGTCTTTCTCTTTTGTTTTAAATGAGGGATATATATTTTTGAGTATGACACATTTTTCCTCTGATTTAGAAGTCAAAATTTTAAAAGAAAGTGTTGCCTTTTCTACATGAGATTCTTCCAAAATAAACCTTCTCCATGTTAATGCATGTACCATTTGACGGTTTGAAGCCAGCTCTTTAGCATATAAAGTAAATACGAGGTACTGATTTGAAAAGGAGGCAAAGTCACAGAGTTACAGTCTTTTTACTGCCAGAGTCAGATAGTCTCATGCCCGATATTTCCGTACCTCATCACTGATAATACTATCTAGCAATTTCATACTTCTTGTAGATACACTTATAAATCTGGCCAAGGGCCAGTTTCAGAACTACCACAAAAGGACAAAAGTGCTCTGACCTGAACAATTATGCTGAGATCACGTAACAACTTACACCAAGGAAACTAAATACAGCCAAAGATTTCCAATAAAAATGCAACATTGCAAACTATCATCAAATTCAGCTTCCTACTGAATAGCATTTTAATAAATAATGAAACAGGAAAATTCATCAGGCAAATAGGCCTGGAACTCTTCTGGGAGACCTTCAGTCAGGACATGTTTTCATGTGATGTCAAGCAGTGGTTGGGGTCAGCTCTTCATTTTCACAGCTGGCCAAGACAGGTAAGAAGCAAGCCCATTAATGTATTAAGCTGATGGAGTCCACTAAAACTGTCATAATGTGTTTGTTTTCCTATAATTATTTATTTATTTATTTTGTCTTTCAGAATGAGGTAACTATTATGCCGGGTACTGAGTTTGGTGCTGAAAATAGAACAAATGATATGAAAATCCATTCTCTCCAGTCACTCACAGTCCTATGAAAAGGAATCCATATGTAAATTATCAAAGTAGAATGGAAAGCTTGATATACAAGAGGAATACAACTGAACAGGAAGGAAATTCTTGACACAACTCAATAACAATAGAAAAGGTATGTTCTATGTATTACAGTGAAGATAAGAGTCTGGGCAGGATGCAGCCAAATGGACTTCAGGAGAAATGGACATTTACATTTTGGAGGGAAGACGAGTTAAGTAGGATGTAAGGGTCTTTTTCTTAGGAACGTGATGCGCTTAGCTGAGAATTACAAATAATAGGCATATTTAGTTTTTCTAAGAATGGGCATTTAATAAGTCATAAATACTAACTGATAATAAAAATAATAGTTGGTACTTACAGAAAGTTTACTTTTTACTTTTAAGTGTTACATATAGATAGTTGTAGTTGATCTTACAACACAGATGGAACTGTTTTCCCATTTTTCAGATAAAAGATTGCAAGGCACTGAATAATTAAGGAACTTCCTCAAATGAAAACATCAGCAACAGGATTTGACCCCCTAGTCATTCGAAAAATTATGCATATTTTATCACAGAACTCCTTGTAGAGATGAAAAATACAATAGAAGTAAAGAACTGGATACAATTCACAGCAGATTTAATACTGCAGAAGATAAGATCAGTGAACCTGATAGTGTTGAAAACTATCCAAAATGAAAAAAAAGAGAGGAAATATAAAACAAATAGTAAAGAGAAGCATCAGGAATATGTAGAACAATAAGCTATAATTATTAAAAATAGATCAGTAAATTCCTGGACTTGGGGTGAGAGGAGGGCATCATGTTGCTTATATAACTGTATACATTTGTCAAAACACATCATAATGCACACTTAAAATTGGTGAATATGATTGTTTGTAAATTACACTTCAATAAAATTGATTAAAGGAAAAAATAACCAAATGGATAACTCACAATCTGGCTTAAAAGATGGTTGATCTAACATAAAAATAAAAAATAATTTATATAATTCCAATAATATTTAAATAATATTAAAAGTGATAGAAACCTGGTCTCTCCAAATTTCACTGTTAGGATGTATTTGAATGTTAACTTCTCTGGATACCTTTAGTATACTACAGTCTTCTGGAGCTAGTATCCTTTACTATATAGCCCCTAAATACACTTTCAAATACAAGTACAAGATTGCACACATAATGACTGTGTTGAAGATGTTAACTATTGCCAATAATCTAGTCAATTATAAAAATAATTTAAGCCTGCAATAAACCCAACCTATGATTTTTTCATTTCAAATTCCAAATAAATGTTAAGACACAAGAACTCAAAAACAGATTATATTATTGTACAACCTCCATGATGACAATGTAGTTTAAGAATTGGGTATTTCATTAAACTTCTAAAGTTGTAGCTTCTATAAATAAAAAAAAAAGCACTGAATGGATTTCACTTAAGAAGAATTTTATTATAGAAAGAGACTTTAAAATTAAAGATGACAGGTATAATAAAATATGATAGATCTTTCCTTAAGCTAACGAGCAAAATTTATTGCAGTTCTGTGATACCATTAAACATTTACCTGTCTTGTTCTCACATTATCTTTGCTTTCCTTTAGGAAGAAGCACAGTATTTTCTCCAGAAGGAAGAAGGTAAGTGATACCTTTATTGAAAATGCCAGTATGGCACAATACAAAGGGCACAGAATGAAATATGTTCATACCATTTAGACCAATACACACTGCCACATGTTAAACAGCATGTTTATGTAATGAGATAGAATGCCAAGGACATAAAGGGTTGCAATGAAATAAATTACACTCAAATTCTTTGTCACTACTTTATTATGCAAATGGAATCTCATTTTAATTTTTCATTTTTGGAAATCAGAGTTTGAGAGAATACTTAAAGCTTAAATCTTTCATTACTGCAAACATAAAACCATCCATTTAACGTTTCAGTGTATGTCATAGATTCACTTTACCAGATAACTCCAACCAACCCAAAAATTAAAGGAAGAGAAGAGGTGGAAGAGAATTAAATTACATTATTTTAAATGCAAAATCTAAGTTGTGGTTTCTAATACTTAAAGAGTTTATAAATAAATATCAATATTAATTACCATTTATCACAACTTTTAGGTAGAAACTATTGAGATACGTTTTTTAAAATAAAAAAATTGAATGAATTGATAATATTTTCATACCGTAAGTAATTATATTTTCTAAGCTACTATAAGACCCTGCATCAGATTTCTTTGAAAATTCTATCTCAGCCTAGAATTCATAAAGATTAAAATAACATTCATATTTACTCAAAAATTCAGCAAACATTGAAGAAACTACAGCAAATTTTGCTACTTGCTGTTCACATCAAATTTCACTCTATGCAAGACAGAATTAGTTTATAAACAGAATAGACTTATTTCAATATCGCTTTTTAGTTTTCTGATAAATTAACTTTATAAAATTGTTATTATTGTCTAATTTATCTCCAGATAAAAATAGTTCTTGTTTCAATACATTAAGAAAATTTAGTCCTTCTGTGTTTTTCTCTTCAAATTCTAACAAAAATTCTCAGCACCTTAAATATACCCGGTAACTTAAATATCCTCAGCACCACGGCAGAGAAAATACCAAAACTTCCTATTGCATATTCTTTTTTTTCCCCAGACAGATTAAATATGTCTGTCATTTGGGATTATTTTTGTATAAAATTAAATTTATTTGATAATTTGTAAATCTTTTGAAAAATAAAAATGAAGTATTATGTTTGCTCAAGATTATTGAACATGTCTCCAAACATCAAGGTAGAAGTTACAGCCTCATCACGGTGCTTGTTAAAGGAAACAGACAGTGGATCTTAGAATAGAACCTATATTACCTGTTAAAGATAGTTAAGCTTCTCACCTATAAAATGGTGAGAGCTATCTACACTGACAGATGCTATGCAGAAACTAATCTGTCTCTGTCACTATTTTCCCTTAGGTACATTGACTTCAACATACAAACTTGGTGATAGATGACTACTACAACTTATAACAAAATTTGCAGTTTTCAGCAACTTACTCACAGATTCGTAAAGTGACATAGCACAATATTGGTAGTACAGTAGAAAATGCTTTGTATACATTTATAGCCTCTATATTTTGAAATTCATTTCACCCTTCCACTGAAAACAGATCAATATTTAAATACATTTAGCATTATTTACTTACTAAGATGAGCCAAGTACATTTCCGTCCTTGCAAATGGATCATAAAGTTTTATTCCACAGTATAACTTCTCTCAGAGCCTGTCACTTTGATTCCTAGCATTTCACTTAACTAAAATGATAAATGTTGGTACTGTGTTTGTTCTTGTGGATTATAGTGAAATATGAGAGAAAAAATGTTAATTTCTCCTAGCACACATTTGTTACAGTTGAGTGTCAGTTTGAAAGAGCATCAGAAAGCTGAAATTACCTTTCAGTTTCTAGCAGAGGGGCATTCTTTGTGTGGTAATTATTTGCCCTTCATAGCAAGAAAAAGGACAAGACTACTCACTAATGCCACAACTGACATTATAGTAATAGACATGATAATATATATAGTAAATTAATAATAATAATGGAGAAAAAAATAACTAGCAAGAAAAATATACATATCAGGCTATTCTATGTCTGAGAGAGGACTGTTGGATATAGACAACAGATCTGTATACCATGAGCTAGAAAAAATTCTGAAAGCCAAAGGAGATAACCTGGCTCAATGAATTGCTGGTCTCAGGTGACAAAGCAAAATTCAAAGTGTTAAACTGTGAATTTAAGCAACTTTTGCCTATAGTTTCTAGAAACTATATCGCAGCACTATTCACAATAGCAAAGACTTGGAAACAACCCGAATGTCCATCAATGATAGACTGGATTAAGAAAATGTGGCATATATACATCAGGGAATACTATGCAGCCATAAAAAAGGATGAGTTCATGTCCTTTGTAGGGACATGGATGAAGCTGGAAACCATCATTCTCAGTAAACTATCGCAAGAACAAAAAAACCAAACACCGCATGTTCTCACTCATAGGTGGGAATTGAACAATGAGAACATCTGGACACAGGAAGGGGAACATCACACACCAGGGCCTGTTATGGGGTGGGCAGAGTGGGGAGGGATAGCATCAGGAGATATACCTAACGTAAATGACGAGTTAATGGGTGCAGCACACCAACATGGCACATGTATACATATGTAACAAACCTGCACATTGTGCATATATATATACCCTAGAACTTAAAGTATAATAAAAAAACTATATTTCTAAAATATCACAAGGATGAACACAATTTTGCATGAGACCAAATAAGCAGTAGCTCCAATCTAGTATTTAGTCTTTAAAGAAATAATTTTGGAGATAATTATGATAGTTGCCTTTCATGGCTTCATTCTCAAATATTAGGGTGTGAACTGAGATACCTCACTATTTAATAATGTAGCAGACAGTTTCCATTCGTGAATAAAGATATTTTAAAATTTTTTAAATGAATAAAATATCATTTGAGATTGCAACTTACATAAAAGTAAAGCTCCTTTAGTTGAAAAGGAAGAGCCTGGCTTCCTATACACAGGTATCTCCTCAATATACGAGGTATTCTGAGCCACCTTCACGATACCTTACGGCTTTAAGAAACAAAGCTTGCAAACCACTGCATGACTAAATTATTTGGAAGCCTACCTCTATTTCATACTCACATGTCAATAAACATGAGAAGACAAATTTAAAAGGTTTATATGAGTAGAGAAGTTTTTCCATTCATCTGTCTTAAAATAAGAATTTTCAATTTTTAAAGTTGCCCCTTAGTTCTCTAAGATTCAGAAATATGTATCCAATTGCCGACTCAAAACTCTTACATGAATCTCTAAAGGGAACATCAAGTGCAACCTATCCAAGACTAAACTCATTTTCTTAGCAAAGATCATGATCACCCACGCGACACCTCATAAACAATTTACAAACATCCCAAACTATGCCTATTACTCCTCCTAAACCTTTCTTTCTTGATTCAGTCTACTCTTCCTATTCCCTCTCTTTTTCACTAACTTTATTTAGGCTACCATTATGTACATTTCCAAGCTACTCTAATATCTCCTAACGGGTCTTCCTTCCCACCCACTTTTCATGCTCTCTAACGTATTTTTTCACATAGCAATTAGTAATCCTTTTTAGTGCATATCTGACCCTAGTGTTTAAGGTTCCCTGTTTATAATCCTTCAGTGGTGCTCCACTGCTTTTAGAATTAAAAACAAACTCTTAATATTGTCTACAATGATTTGACCATGTCACTAGCCTCCTTGGTCCACCTATGCTCCAGCAGTATTAGCATTCTCCCTGTCTCCAAAATACTGTTAATTCCTCCTTGCCTAGGGCCTTGGCACAAAGGAGATCATATTATCCATTTACATGCTATCATATATATCACAATTGTAATTCAACATGCAATTCTGTCTTTAACTTTTAAGTTTAATATTAGCTGAACTCTCTGGATTACTCTCATATCACAGCACATAACTTAATGTCTTGCACTGAATAGTGTTCCATCAGTCTCTATCCATTGAATTAGTAAATAATAATCTGGAATATGAGGAAGAATATAATCTACCTTTCATTTGGTTCTCACAGACTTTTGACGAGGCTTAAACATTTTAATCTTTTTTGTCTCGGCAAAAAGCATACATATCAGCCTCACGTAGATGCTGAATCTGCCCTTCTTTACTCTTTGTCAGCTTCCTTAGATCTGTAATGAGGTTGAAGAATGTTTATAATCATACTTATAAATGTTTTATTTGTGCATATGATGTTATATACAAAGATTCTACTAGAGAATAATTATGATGCGCATTTGTATTTTAAAAGCTATTAGAATAAAGAGCTCAACTCTTCAATGTCCTTTTATGCAACCAGGCATATCAATACCTATTGAAATTGATGAGTATTGCAGAAAAGGAGGATGGTAGAAGAGGAATATGTATTCAGGTCACTAAGTTTCTCAAAGACCATAATCTCAGATCCTTAACTCCATCAAGCATCAGAGAATCTATTTTTAATTCATTCCTGGATATTTAGTTGTAAGTGCCTCTAGTTCACTTACAGATATTGATCTGTTCAAAAGCAAGGAAGCCTTTATTGCCACATTAATTTTTGATCCTGTGCCCCTCAGCAACCCAGCATATTATTTAAATAAGTGTGGCTAGCTGAATCACTAAGATTTATGAAAAACAACCATCCTCAAAGTACAACACTATTGATTTGGGGTAATTCATTATAAGTAAATGTAAATTAAATAGTTTATTTTAAGAAATTGTGTGTGAGCTTTTCTTGGATAGCTACAATAAAAGTAACCTAGATTTAAAATAATCAAATAATAATAATAACTATTGTTATTAACCTTTCAGAGTGTTTCTTATATATTAAGAACTATGCAAAATTTTCTGTAGATGTAACATAATTTAATCCTAGTAATAAACCTATGACGTAAGGAGCATATTACTGTATTGTTATTATCTTTCCTTATTGTTTATTTTTTTAAGAAACAGAGTCTAGCTCAGCTGCCCTGTCACCCAGGCTGGAGTGCAGTGGTGCAATGAGAGCTCACTGCAGCCTCAAACTCCTGGGCGCAAAGGATCCTCCCACCCCAGCCTCCCAAGTAGCTGGGACTGCCTGTGTGAGCCACCATGCCCAGCTCAATTTAATAGATAAAGAAACAAGATATTTTATTAGTCCATCTTCATGCTGCTGATAAAGACATACCCAAAACTGGGAAGAAAAAGAGGTTTAATTGGACTTCAAGTTCCACATGACTGGGGAAGCCACAGAATCATGGCAGGAGGTAAAAGGCACTTCTTACATGGTGGTGGCAAGAGAAAAATGAGAGAGAAGCAAAAGCAGAAACCCCTGATAAACCCATCAGATCTCATGAGGCTTATTCACTATCACGAGAATAGCATGGGAAAGACCAGCCCCCATGATTCAATTACCTCCCCAGGGTCCCTCCCACAACACATGGGAATTCAAGGAGATACAATTCAAGTTGAGATTTGGGTGGGGACACAGCCAAACCATATCAGACATAGAAAACTATGATACTTGACAAAGGTCACGCAAAACAAAGAGGAAAGCAAAAATTCATACCCAGGCTGAATGCAAGTAGAGATGATGATTCAAGGTTTCAGTCATAATGAAAATGTAGGAAACCTCTTCAATTTTCTGTCCTTATGCTACTATCTTAGTCTTTCAGGAAGTAGAAAGAAAGTTTCTGACCCTGAGGACCTGCAATCCTAGCATGAAAGCAGCAGTTTAGGGAATAAACAGACAATATTCTATCTTCTTATCTCTGAGAAATTTACCTTGCATTAAATTCAGTACCTCATTTGTAATGTTTTGGAAAGCATGACTATAATTAATGAAACAACATTTTTGGAAAAGCTATTAAATCTATTTTTCTAGGTGATAGCTGAGGCATGAATAGCATCCTCAAAGAGGAAGATTATCTACAAACAGCTGTAATTGAAGGCACTGTTTTTTTTAATGCAATAATTCCCAGGATTGAAAGATCGTATTTCTCTAGAATATTCAAGGAAGACTTCAATAGGTAGTGGATATGAGTATAGTCTTGAGAAGAAGTTAGAATTTCAAAAATTAAAAAGTTAATGAAAAGGGCATTTTGGACCTTAATTTTAAAATTTGAATGGTCATATGAATAACTCAGATATATTGTTAATATACAGATTCTAATTAAGTGGGTTTGAGTGGGACTTGAGATTTTGCATTTCTCTAAAATGCTCTGAGATAATGATGATGATGCTGGTTTGAGAACTACACTTCAAATAGTGATATGGTTTGGCTGTGTCTCCACCCAAATCTCTTCTTGAATTGTAGTTCCCATAATCCCCACATGTCGTGGGAGGGACCAGGTGGAGGTAATTGAATCATGGTGGTGGTTTCCCCCATCCTGTTCTTCTGATAGTGAGTTAGTGATTTCACGGGATCTGATGGTTTTATAAGGGGCTTCCCCCTTTGCTGAGCACCACCCCTTCCTGCTGCCATGTGAAGAAGGATGTGTTTGCTTCCCTTTCTGCTTTAAAGTTTCCTGAGGTTTCTCCAGCCTTGAGGAACTGTGAGTCAATTAAACCTCTTTCCTTTATAAATTGTCCAGTCTCAGGTATGTCTTTATTAGCTGCATGAGAACATACTAATACAAGTAGCATGGTAATGCTAGACATAAAATAATATGAGCAAGTATACAGGCATAAAAGAATCATTTATGCTTTGAATAAGTCAGTAGTACCCTTTCCTTGAGAGGCAGTTGATGGAAAGGTTTATTTAAGTCAAATTATAAAGGATTTTGAATGACAGCTTACTACACCTAGATTTTATGTCAAGCACAAAGCTTGCTTTCATTGCTTTCTCAAAGAAAAATATTCCCTTATTGACAAAAGCAATATTAAAAATAACTTAAAGATAAAATGATTTATCAGTTCAATTATGACTAGTATGCCCTCTATTATTAGAGGAGGTATAGTGCAAGTGCTTAAAAAATGTGTAGATGGAATTATTTCAATTATTATTTCCTAACTAAGCTCAAGTTTATTTTAAATGCATACCCATATCAATAATTTTTCATGTTTCCATATTAATTTTTTGCCAATTGTTACAAAAATATGCAAATTTTCTAAAAATATCAAATGTGCTGTGGGAATTAATCACTTAGTAATATGGAATTAAATGTATTTACTATGTTACTTATTATAAGTAACCCAACATAATCGATTGACAAAAAAATCTATTTCTACGAGAAAAGCTAAATGAATGGCTTTTGTTTTCCAAAATGAGCTATTACCTCAACCATTTATTATTGGTTCCAAATGTTTTATTCACTCAACCCATGATTCCAATATAGCTTGTTCTTTAGAGCAAAATTATTTTACTACTTTAACTGAAATAAAACAAATGTTATTCTGATAAACTAATACCTAATTGGCTTGGAAGAAAATTTAGGAACAGAAGACATCCAGATTTTATTATAAGGCTTGAAATTTGTGAATTTTGAAGGACTGCTTTACAAAGATAAAATTGATTGAAAATGATTCATGATTAAAATGGGTGCTAAACCTTAAACTTCAGTATCTTCATGGTAGATAAGACTCAGTTTAGGAACTACAGAAACCACATTTAGTTACATTGTAAAGCAGATTGATTAATTAATTAATTGATTGATTATTGAGTACCCATTATGTTCCAGCCAATGCTAATCTAAGCACTGAGGATAAAATGGCTAATAAGATATACAAATTTTCACTTTTATAGAACATATCCTCTACAGGTTGTAAACACAATAACACATACATACGTAAGACAAAATCAAAATATATAACAAGATAAGAGCTGTCATAAAATAAGGAAGACAAAATAATTTTGAAGTGGCAATGTCAGCTGGAATGGTCAGGTGAGGTATGTTGGGATGTGATATTTATTTATTTTTCTTTTTCCCCCAGCTTTATTGAAGTATAAATGACAAAGAAAAATTGCATATATTTAGGACGTGCAATGTGATGTTTTTATAGGTATACGTTGTGAAATCATTATGACAATTAAACTAATTAACATATCCATCACTTTACAGTTACCGTTTTTTTGTGTGTGTAGTGCTGTGAGAAGATTTAAGACCTACTCTCTTAGCAAATTTCAAGTATGCAACACAGTTTTCTGAACTGTAGCCACCAAGCTATACATCATCTCCCCACTTATCCTGTGTAACTGAAACTTTGGTTCTTTTGGCCAACAACTCTCTATTGAATCATTTAATGATGAGAAGAAAGCAGCCAAATTAAGAAGAATTGTTATTTTTTTTCAGTTTCATCCACGGTAGAGTGAATAGGTGATTAATTAACAAATATGTGTTGAAGTGTTAAATGAATGACTCTGTGGAAAAGCATTTTGAGTAGTTAAGAGTAGAAAATGCAAAGGGACTGATATGAACATAACTTGCAATTTGGGCAAATGAAAAGAAGGCCTGAGTGCAGAGAAAGGCAAGTGATAAAGAGAATGGGAGGTGATAAGGTTAGAGAGAGAGGCATGTGCCAGACCATGTAAGTCAGTAGTTCTCAGGTCAGGATGCATATTAGAATCAACTGAGAAATTTGGTAAAGCACCAGTAAAAAAGGAGCAGGGGTGAATGGTATCTAAGAAAAAGCATGTTTTCAAATCCTCCAGGTAAATGTGACATGTAATCATTGTTAGGAATGAATAATCACACATTTGAAGGCATGATAAGAAGGCCAAGAGATGCCATCACAGGGTTAATAATGAGGGTTAAAAAACATTAATGTCAAAATACATTTCCTTGAATTAAGAATAAAAGCTTTGCTGAAATTCTTTTTAATATTTCCTACCTAATTTGCTTATTTATACCCAAACACAAAGAAAACAACAAAGACAGTCATATGCAAATAAAGGAATGGGTATAAAATAATTTCCATTCTTTCTAATGATGCTACCCATATAATACACTAATCAAGATTGTGAAAGTTTCCCACTTATCACTTAAGAAAAAACATTCAGATTTCCTTCCTCTAGACTATTTTACATCACAAAGACATAGGGAGACTGTCAAAACCAACTTTCTTTTCCTTACACATGACTCCAATTTCCTAGGACCTAGTGACAGAACAAATAATAGGAAGCTTGAATTAGTCTATCTCTAAAAATCTTAATTCTTCTGGTAACCATGACTTCTGGAAATCAAGGCAGGAAGAATATCTCATTTATGCTTAGACTGATTTCCATCCTTCCTCTTCTCCAGAACTCTTCCTCCATTCCTAATAGCCCCATATCCACTTATTTTTTTACATAGCATTTATTGCTTATTAGCCTACTCTATAGGTTATTTGTTATATTTATTATCTCCTCCACTAGCATGCAAGCTCCAAAATAATTTTGCCTACTTTCTTTATTGACTCATCCCAATACCTACAGAAGTGACTAGCACATAAAAAACACTCAATAGATATTTACTGAAGGAAGGAATAAAAATCCATGTGGTCATTATTCTTATTTTCAAGATGAAAAAACTGAGGCTCACAATAGCAAATGAATTTAACAAGGTCACACCTTCAGGTAATGACAGATTGATTAAAATACAAATCTGTCTCATACAAAAGTACGATTGTTAACCACTATACAGCAAATATTTAGGAAAGTATTTGAAGCTAAGACTATGTCTAGCCAGACCATAGACAGTTTCTGGTGCCAAAGTAAGGAGTTATGACTTAGAGCTGCCGTTAGTTGGAAATTATTGAAGGACACTGAGCAGGCAAGTAACAGCCACAAAATAGTGTTTCAGGAAGATTTATCTGCCATCAGTGTGGAGAAAAGATTGGTAGGGGAAGAACATCAAGGCAGCAAGAAGGTTCAAAGGAAAAAGCACAATGTCAAGATAATTTCAGGAACTAGTTCAAAGTAAAAGTCTATAAATCATTGGTAACATCAAATTGTTCTTCAGCTTGAGATGTGGACCTATTACAAATGATCATTCAGGAAATATTTATTGAGGGCATGCAATGTTCATAGCCATCATCAACAGACTCTACCAGACACTGTATTTCACTTGGTAAGACAAGATCATCTGTATATGGTCATGTTCATCTAATTCCACTAGGTGCGCATGTGAATAACCTAAAAAACTTACTTAAATATCTTCAAAGAACGTCTAAAAAGTAAAAGGAGGAAAGGATGTCCAAACTACATCAAAGTTTAGTCATTCACGTTGGTTCTGTACCTGCTATATGAAAGATACTTTGTTAGATGCTTTCCTTAAATCACAGATCAATCATAGGTTCTGAACTCAAACTGCTGTCAGTAAGGCACAAAAAAAAGAAAAAAAGAAAAGCACATAAATAGCTAAAAATTTTATAATTTTTATAAAAAGATTATAATGGGAGAAGTTTAGATAAGGTACTATATGAGTTGAGAAGAGAAATGGGTTACTGTAAATTTGGCATTGCAGAAATCTTCAGTGAGTTGCTAGTAACTGAGTTATAAAATATATTCCACCAGTACATCAAAAATAGTGTATTAAAGGATTTGTGGTAATTCTTTGTAAACATCAGTAACTCTTAATGATATTTGGCACAGCAGATAGGATGATGTTGACACATTTCAGAAAAAGATATAAAATTAATGAGATCAAAAGCAAGGTTGTAAATTATAGAGGTCTTTTCACGATCACTGTAATTTTTAAATAGAGCTCTAGGTCAGAATCCTCAAAGCTCTCAGTAGTTTTATCTTGGCCTCTACTACTTGTCTAACTTTGATAATTGATGTACTTTCCTCATATCTCTATTTCCTTGTTAGGAAAAAAAAGGGGCTATGAACGACTAACCCCTCTTTACATAGAAGAATTAAATATTTTACCAATTAATAAATTGTATTTACATGAGATTTTATTTGAAAATGTATTCTATGTCATTGAGAATTTTCAGAAGTTTGAAAATAGCTTACATGAATTCTAAGATTGTGACCAGTTCTAAAACTCAATGACTACCTTTATATCATTCTTTTCATTTATTCTTTGTCACAGGATTACTAACTCTAAAGTGTTACATAACACAAATTCTATCAGTGAGGCCACTTCATAGGTTATCCTGAATTACCTAAATTAGTAAGTTCCACTTCATTAAAGGAAGAAATACCTTGACATATATGTCATAATATGGGCATATAACTCTATGTTAGGTGAGGGAAGTATCTGCATCACAAGCTGAAGCAATAAATTTCCTTATATTAATATGAATACACTATTTTATATTAGGTACAGCAAGTACCTAATATAGAGTTACATGCACATATTATGACATCATCCCCAATTCATCTGTAGCATTTTTGTCATTAGAAGTAATGACTGCAAATTATGAAATATAAGCAGCAGCCTACTTATATAAGTTGGTAAATGTTATACATTCTCAATATGTAGTTATTGTTTTTCTAATAAGGGGACTTCCATAAAAAAGTATTATATTTTTATAGAACTATAAATTGTTTATCCTAATATTAAAGTTAAAAAGATGGAGAAGGATATTTGTGGTAGCATCTTGAACCAGGAGTAAAGAGTTCTTAGTGTCACATCAATATCCGGACTGAATCACTTTGCGATTTGGGACAAGCCATGTTTTGACTCTTCCTGTATTTCTATGACTGTGGAACATTTGAAAAATTGTTATTAGTTGCTATATTTGTTTCCTAGGGCTGCCAAAACAAATTACCACAAACTTGGTGGCAAAAAAACAACAGAAACATATTCTCTCACACAGTTCTGGAGGCTAGAAGTGCAAAATCAGGATGTCAGCAGGGCTGCACTCCCTCCAGAGGCAGTAGGAGAAACTCCTTCCTTGTCTCGTTCATCTTCTTTGATGACCCCAAGCATTCCTTGGTATGTGACAACATAACTATACTCTCTGCCTTCATTTTCACATAAATTTCTCCCTTCTATGTACTTCTTTGCATTCTCTCCTCTTATGAGGACACTGGTCATTGGATTTAGAGCCTACTCTAATTGTGTATGATCTCATCTCAATCCTTGACTAATTACATCTGAGAAGACATTATTTCCAAATAATGTTACATTCTGAGGGTCCAGGTTGACATGATTTTTTTTCTGGGACACTATTCAACCTATTATAATGGTTATGATATATTTTATCAATTTGCATAAAATATGAAAAGATTTACAGGTTATAAGAATGCATGCATTTTTATCAGCACTATAAAATTACATCATAAAAGCAAATTTTGTGAAGCTTTCAGTTGTTGGAAAACCTATATTGGAAAACTTCATGCTTTCTCTATAAATTTTGCATGCTTATATTCTGTTTATGTTGTATATAGATTTCTAGTTAAATTCTTGAAATAAGTCTCTCTAGTGGTAAATTATTATTGGAACAAAAGCTGAATTCTTGCTCTGCAGATTCTTCTATCATGACAGCATTAAGCAAATATTCACTCAGTATTCCTTCCCTCATTCACATATCTGATGTGTCAAGCGCTTCTAGACACTGGAGATACAGCAGTAAAATAGACTTACAGGATTGTTATTGGGCAGAGAGGGAGACTAGAAAAGAAAGAATGTAAATAAGTAAAACATAATATGTCATGCAGTGAAAAATACAGTGGTAAAAAAACAAGGCAGAGAAGAAGGACAGCGAGTGTAGAGATGGGGAACAATTTACCTTTTCAAATAGTGTGGCCATGTGGGCTATACTGAGTCACTGACATTTGAGATAATGCCTGAATAAGGTGAGGTAGAAAATTAAGACATGAAGTAAACTGGAGAAAGAACATTACATACAGAAGAGTTAGCAAGACAAAGGTACTGAGGTAGAAATATACCTGCCACATTGCAAGAATAGCAAGAAAGCCAATGTGACTGGAACAGAATGAATAAGGGGAGAATACCAAGACCTAAAGTCAATGTGACTCCAGTGCTCAAGGCACAGAACTTGAGTAAGCCATCATAATAACTTTTGTTTCTACTCTGAGTATTGGGGAGCTAGCAAAGATGTTGGAGCAGAGGAATGGCATGATCTGACTTAAGTCTGAATTCTAAATATACTTTAAAGAAAGTTTGCATATAATAATGCAAACAGGATGTGCTAATGTGAAATGGGAGAGAAAAGGAAAAGTTGAGAATATCTGAAATTTTGGGGTTTAAGCAGCCGGAGTGATGAAACTGCCAAAAATCGACACAGAAAAGATGGCAAAGAGAAAAGCTTTTGATGAAAGATGAGAAATTCAGTTTTGGATATGGTAAGTTTGAGATGTTTCTTAGAATCCAAAAAGATATATCAAGTAAGCCTTGGTCACAAATGTCTAAAAATTAGGAGAGGAGTATAACATGGCTATGTAAAGTTTGAAGTGATAAATTTATGATAAGGCATATAAATGAACAATATATTCAAAGAGATCACTAAAGGAATAAGTACAGAAAAAGAACAGATAAATCTAATTCTGCTTCCTGGCCTACCTCAACTTTAGGAGGTAAGGTGAAGACAGGGAACCTGCAAAGGATATTGTGAAGAAGTCGTCAGTGAGGTAGAAAACCAGGAGGGTGTGACAGCCTCTAAGACAAGTAACAAAAGCAATACAAGGAGGCAGGGATGATGAACTGTTTCAGATGTTATTGACAGTCAAGTAAAATAAAGGTTGAGAATCATTGGACTTAGCAATATGGAAACAATAAGTGGTATTAATAAAAGCATTTCTGATGAAGTCATGGTGAAAAGAAGCTGCTTGGAGTATCTTTACAAAAGAAACTGTGAACTGAATTCAGAGACCATGAGTACAGAAAATTTTGTCAAGATGATTCTGTCTGAACTTCTCCATAGCGATGTTTGAAAACTAAGTGATACAGCACTTGTGCTTTGAATTCATGGCATGCTACGTAGTAAACACCTAATAAGTGGTAGCTCTAATAATGGTGAATATGTTTATAATAATGCACATAAACCTTCAAATTCAACAAGAGTGCCAGTTTCCTTAAGAACAATCTCTCACCTTCAGCAATCCATCTTTTCAGGTCCAGCTCACATCTTGAATAATAAATAGTAAGTAGGATTAGGCATGCCCCAAATAAGTAAAATAATAATGAAATAAATTATAACACACAGATTAAAGAAGAAAACGAAAACACATAGAACTATACTATGTGGCAGAAAATAATGATAGTTATGAATGAGGAACTAGTAAAGAAAGATTTTTAAACTTTTATCATCCCTTTGAAAATCCAGAGGAAAATGTTTAAGCAAACTGTAATAGGCGGAATAGTGTACAGTCAGTAAAACTGTGGTTTAAGGAAAATTTAATACTGTAAGAAAATGTCCTAAATATAAATTCAGACAATAAAAGCAGGATGTAAAAATGAAATAAAGCAAGATCTCTATTATAAATATAAAAAATAAACCAAGATTATAATTGTAACAATCTATATGTATTGGACTTATAAGTTCTTTTATATTCTTCTTCTATTTTTCTATATTGAACAAAATGTTTAAATAGAGATCATGTGTTATTGCAACCTAAAAGGAGAATAAGTCTTCTAAAAAGTAAATCACATATTTTTTTAGGTAATTTTTAATTTAAAAAAATTTTTAAGTTTTTCTAATTGAAGGAATTAGATTTGTTTTTAAACTATTAACTTCAGGTAAATTATGGGGTGTGTATATTAATATTTTTCTCTAGAGGCCTTTGTGATGCCTAATGCATTTTTTTAGTTTACCTCTTTAATCCTCAAAAAATGGAGGAAGTGAGATCATATCTGGATCAGACTTTGAAGTATACAGACCCTGGTATACATAAAGATTTTCTACACGTTAATTTTAACATTACAAAAAGTAATGAGAGCAAAGACAATTCAATATATGCTACAAGTGAATCATTATCAAAAAATTAAAATTCATCCTCATTATTACTCTAAATAAAAATATATACAGATCAAATTATTCAATGTGAAAAAACTAAAAAAAGAAAAACTCAAAGAATTTCTGATTTTAAAGTAATTTAGCTCACAAATGTGTTTAAATGAAATGATAAATACTGTGGTGAGATATGTATACACATACTGATGATGAGATAAGAAGATCAATAGCCTTGTTTTTAAACTATTAAAACTATTAAACTATTGTTTTAAACTATTACAAACAAGGATATTTAAAGCAGTGAAAGTTTCTCTCAAGAGAATTAAAAGAATATTCATGTCTTTAAAAATTTAATCCAATACCAATAATCCAGTCTAAGAATATAATCAGAAACTACTTTTCAGAGGAAGGTAGAACGAACTGACCAAAATAACCCTCTAGAGATTGTTGCCCACAGGAACATCAAATTCAACAACTATCCATGCAAGGAAGCACATTCATAAAAACCAGATAAGCAGGTAAGGACCACATACCTAGGTTCAACATAGCAACAAAGAAAAAGGCATTGAAGGGGATAGGAAGAAGAGTTTTGCATTGCCTACAACACCCGTACTCTAACCCCAAGAGGCACAGCCTGGAGAAAGAATCTGGGTGCTTGAAGAAGGGACAGCAAAGGAAGTGTGGGACTTTGCATTGAAGCCAGGGCCATTCTGTCACAGTAAAGCACAACACAGGGAAAAATTCTGCTGGTGCTCACAGACGGAGTACTTAGAACACCACTGGGTCTGAGAGGTATCCTTTGCCCCAGTGGGAGGAAACTGAATTCTAGTCAGCTCTACCAGTGACTGATTAAAATGGCCTGGGGCTCCAAATAACTTTGAGTGGCAACCAGGCCACAGTGACTGCAGTCCTTGGTCCAGCTCTGGTGCTAGGCTGGTCTCAGAGGCAGTGGACTTGGGGTACGGACCAGAGCAACACCAGCTGTGGTGGCCAAGTGAGTGCCCGTGTCATATCCCTCCTAAGAGTAGGCTGTGCAGCACTGGGAGAGACTCTTTCTGCTTGGGTCAGGAGAGAAGATAGTACAGAGGACTTTGTCTTGCAACGTGGGTACCAGCTCACTCACAGCAAAGTAAATTATCAGGAAGATTTCTGAAGTGCCTAATTCCCGACCTTTGCTCCTGAAGGGCATTTCTAGACCCATCAGGGGCCAGAAGGGAATCCACTGCACTGACAGGTTGGACCAAGTCTCAGCAGGAATCACCATCTGCTGACTAAAGTAGCCTTGGGCCTTGACAAAAATATCCGGGGCAGACAGACAGTAGTAGATGTGGTCCATGGGTGAGCACCACTATTGTGCTGCTCTGGAAGGCAGTGGTTTCAGGTGTGACTCCTCATGATACCAGCTGTGAGAGCCATGGGAGTACCCACATCACCCCTCCCTCAACTCCAGGCAGTGCCACATGGAGAAAAACTCCTTTTGCCTGGGGAAAAGACAGGGCAGAAAACAAGAGGCTTTGCCTAGGAACACAGGGAATACTCTGTCTTCCCCAAATCCACCAAGACTGTGTATTTAATTAAGTGAAGAGCCACAGTGTTCCTGGGCTTATGGGGGCCACCTACTGCTGAAAGAGCTGCAGTGACGACAAGCTTAGGTAACAACACTCAATCCCCTTTGAATTCCTGGAAAGCTCTCTAAAGAAGGATGAGTACAAGTATGCTCAGACTGCAAAGATCGTGATAAATACCTAACTCTTCAATGCCCAGATATCAACAAACATCTACAAGCATCAAGGACATTAGGAAAACATAGCCTCACCACATTAACTAAATAAGGCACCAGTGACCAATCCTTGATTGGCAAAGACATGTGACCTGTTAGACAGAAAATTCAAAATACCTGTCTTAGGAAGTTCAGCAAATTTCAAGATAACACAGAGAAGGAATTCAGAATCCTCTCAGAGAAATTTAACAAAGTGATTGAAATAATTTTTTTAAATCAAGCAAAAATTCTAGAGATGAAGAATTCAAGTGACGAACTGAAAAATGCCGCAGTCTCTCAAAAGCAGAATTGATCAAGCAGAACAAAGAATTAGTAAACTTGAAGATAGACTGTATGAAAATATACAGTCAGGGGTGAAAAAATAAAAAAAGAATGAACTAATCCCACAAAATCTAGACAATAGCCTCAAAAGGGATAATCTAAGAGTTATTTTATTAAAGAGGATATAGAGACAGGGATCAAGGTAGAAATGACAACATAAACCTTCCTAAACCTGGAAAAAACACGAATAACCAGGTAGAACAACAAAGAACACCAAGAAGATTCAAAACAAATAAGATTACCTTAAAGCATATAATATTCAAATTCCCAAAGGTCAAGGATAAAAAAAAAATCCCGGGGCCGGTCGCGGTGGCTCACGCCTGTAATCCCAGCGCTTTGGAAGGCCGAGGCGGGCGGATCACGAGGTCATGAGATCGAGACCATCCTGGGTAACACGGTGAGACCCCGTGTCTACTAAAAATACAAAAAAAAATTAGCCAGGCGTTTTGGCGGGCGCCTGTAGTCCCAGCTACTTGGGAGGCTGAGGCAGGAGAATGGCGTGAACCCGGCAGGCGGAGCTTGCAGTGAGCCGAGATCCCGCCACTGCACTCCAGCCTAGGCGACAGTGCAAGACTCCATCTCAAAAAAAAAAAGAATCCCAACAACAGCAACAAAAAAAGAAGCAAATAGCATATTAAGAAACTTTTATACATCTAGGACCAGGCTTCTCAGTATAAACCTTGTAAGTCAGGAGGGAATGGGATGACATATTCAACATGCTAAAGTAAAAAAAAAAAAAAAAAAAAGAAATCCAACCTAGAATATTGAGTATTGTTTCCAGAACAGTTAGGAGAAATGAAGACTTTCCCAGACAAAGAAAAGAGGGAGAATTTCAACATCAACCCTTCTTAGAAGACATGTTAAAATAGGTTCTTCAATCTGAAACAAAAGAATACTAATGGGCAATACAACATGATATGAAAGTATAAAACTCACTGGCAAAAGTAAGTTCACAAAAAAATACAGAATACCCTGAAACTGTAACTTCAGACTGTCACTCATATATGTAGTAGGAAAACTAAAAACCAACCTATCAAAAATAGTAACTAAAACAATTTGTTATGAGATCGATAATATAAAATATATAAGTAGAGACAACAGAAGTCTTAAAGTTAGGGGGATGGAATGAAAATGTAGAGTTTTTTAGTTTTTGGGTTTTTTTTTTGCTTATTTTTTCCTTTTCATTGTGACCAGAGAAAAGTTGTCATTGCTTTAAAATCATTGATTATAAGATAATATCTACAAGTCTTATGGTAACTACAAAGCATAACCTAAAATAGATACACAAAAAACAAATACCAAGAAATTAAAACTTTCTACCAAATAAAATTATGTATCCATAAAGAAAAACATTAAGAAGAAGAAAAGAAAGGATTTATGAAACAACCAAAAAACAAGACCGTCCTGTTCTATATATGTAATCACAAATGGCAGAATATGTCATTTGTCCCTTCGCAGATTCTCCTCTGACAGGAGGAGATTCTCTGAAATAAAACAAGCCACGCACAGAAAAACAAGTATTAAATTTTCTCACTCACATTTGGGAGTTAAAAAAAATTGATCCCATGAAGATAGAGAGTAGAATGATGGTTATCAGAAGCTGGGAAGGGTAATGTGGTAGGGGTAGAAAAGAAAAATTAGTTAATGAGTACAAAAATACACTTTTGATCAAAGGAATAGTGTTTGGTAGTACAATAGGACAAGTATAGTTAGCAATAATTTATTGTATATTTAAAAATAACTAGAAGAGAGGAATTGGGATGGTCCTAACACAAAAAAATCGTAAATGCTTGAGGTGACACATATCTCCATTACCCTGATTTCATCATTAAACATTGTATGCTTGTATCAAAATATCACATGTACCTCATAAATATGTAAAACTGTTATGTATCCTTAAAAATATTGAAACATCCTTTCCATTACATAAAAAATTCATCACATTTTCAAAGATAACTTCATAAAAATATTTATAATAACATTATTCAGTGGTAAAATGTTGGGTGCAATCTACATGAAAATTCATGACAAATAGTTATGAATACTACCATATAGACATATGATAAAATATTGTGTGGCCATTAAAACCATATTTTTAAAGGATATCTTATGAAAGACAAAATGCCCATAATATATTAATTTAAAAAGTAAATTTCATTTTACCGTGAGGGCAACATCTAGGTGGAATTCAAATTTAATTTTCTTCTTTATTTTAATTTTATTTTTTTCTACAATGAATATTAATTTTATTAGGAAAAATAAATAGTACTTTTTTGAAAGAAATTTAACAAAATATATTTTTCATTATCCTTCAATGAAATATCTAGAGAAGATTCAGTCTGTAACAATTACATACTTTTCAAGTTATCTAATGAATTTTATATCATTACATATAATATATAATGAATTTTAAAAATAAACCTCAATATTCATAACTAAATTATTCATATTAGTAACAGAGAAATGTACAAGAGAGTACTGAGAAATATATGAAAATGCTGTTCTTTTTTTTGCTTTGAGACAGAGTCTTGCTCTGTAGCCTAGGCAGGAGTGCAGTTGCATGATCTTGGCTCACTGCAACCTCCATTTCCTGGGTTCAAGTGATTCTTGTGCCTCAGGCTCCCAAGTATCTGGGATTACAGGCACGCACCACCATGGCTAGCTAATTTTTGTATTTTTTGTAGAGATGGCTTTTCGCCATGTTGCCCAGGTTGGTCTCAAACTCCTGAGCTCAATCAATTCCCTTGCCTTGGCCTCCCAAAGTGCTGGGATTACAGGCATGAGTCACTAGGACCCGGCCAAAAATGCTGTTCTTATTTCTAAAACTCATGCCTTTCTTATCTTCAAGGGGCATATATTTTTGAATGAATGGAGGGTTTCTTTTGGGGGGGAAAAAAAAGGAACTTTAACCCTCCTCACCCTCTACACCAAAATTAAATCAAATCTTAAAATCTAAAACCATAAATCTTCCAGAAAGAATTTTCATGGCCTTGGCATTGGAAAATATTTCTTAGCTAGAACAATAAAAGAAGCATAAAAAAATACGTTAGATTTCATCAGAGTTAAAAATTTCTGCTCTTTCATAGACCTCATTTAGAAAAGTAAAAAGGCAAGCCACAGGCAATCCAATTTTAAAAATGAACAAAAGATTGAACAGATAGTTCATAAAACAAGTCTGGCCAAACACACACACACACACACACACACACACACACACACACACACACACACACAGAGAGAGAGAGAGAGAGAGACGGAGAGACAGAGAGAGAGAGAAATTGATGCTCAGTATCAATAGTTATCACGAAATCCAAGTCAAAATCACAATGAGATACCACAATTAACTCAGTAAAATGGCTAAAATTTAAAATTCTGGCTATGATGTGTTGGCAAGGATGTGAAGTAACTAGATATTTCCTACATTGCTGATGGGAATAGAAAATAGTCTAACAACTTGGGAAAACAGACTGGCAGTATCTCACAAAATTAAACATACACTTGGCATATGACTCAGCACTTCCATCCTTTGGTATTTTCCCAAGAGTTGTGAAAACATATGTCCACACAAAGACTTGTGTATGAATGTAGCAGCTTTATTCATAATAATGAAAAGATGGAAACGACCTAAATGTCCACCAGCCAGTGCAAGAATAAAGATAATTGTACTCCATCCATATGCTATGGTCTAAATGTTTCCCAGTATGGAGGTATAGGGAGGTGAAGACTTTTAGGTGTTTAGATAGTGAGACCTCTGTCCTAATTAATAGAATTAATGCCACTACTAATAGGATTTATAGTGGCACATAAAGACAACAATGCTCCTCCTCTTTGGAGAACAAACCAACAAAGCACCAACTTGGAACCAGAAAACAATCCTGCTTGCACCTTGGTCTTGGCTTTCTAAGCCTCCAAACGTGTAAGAAATAAATTTCTGTTCTTTAATAATTACCCAGTCCCATGTGTTCTGTTATAGCAGCATGAAACAAAGAAACCATACCACAGAATATTTTTATGCAACAGAACCGCTGATACACCCAATAACATTATTAATCTCAAAACACTTATGCTGAGTAGTACAATTCAACTTTTAAGATTTGCTAGAAGAGACAAAAGTAATCAATAATCACAAAAACCAGATCAGTGGTTATCAGGCCTCAAGTGGAGGAATGGGCTGCCTAGAGGTATGAGGGACATTGTGCAGAGGGAGTCATGATTGTGAGATTAAATCTGAGATCCATTTGTCCAAACTCATGAAACTGTAAAATTAAAATGGAGCTTTTTATAATATACCTTAATAAAGATGATTTTGGAAATAAGTTCCTTAATTATTCCCAAAGCTATACTTACATGGAGTTTTACTTATTGGCTAAACCATGAGTTCTGTTCTACAATGTAATCACCTTACTCTCAGTTGTTTTCCTTTCTGATTGAATTTCTCACTCTTAAAACTTTCCATTATTACTTTATTATTTTCATTTGCTATTGTCTCCATTTATTAGCTGCTTTTTACACATAAGTCAAACATACCACCTATCTCCATCTTTTTCAAAGTTCCTCAATCTTATTTTCATGAGTGCTCCTGCTGAGTCCTCCATGTACTGATTCATTCCACATACTCCACATGATACGTCTATTCCATCTAGAACTCGCTTTACTCTCTTGACTTATTGACTACTACAATGTAAATATGCAATGATCTTATGAAAACCTCTGTATATCGTGGAGAAAGTGAAAGTATATACAATGTAACATAAGGCAGGTTCTGAAGGAAAAAATATCATCTCCAGGCTATAAATGTGCCCAATTTGGGCTATAAATCAAATTATATGGGCCAAGAAGAGACACAAGAAAATATTTTACACTTGGGTTGTGTGTAAGGTAAACAATTTTTTAAGCCTATTTGGGCCATGATAATGAAGTTACATCAAGTTTCTTAATCATATATATAAACTGGCTACTCTATGATCATGAAAACGGTACCAAACTTATCATGCATTCGTTATTCAATCAGCAATTGTTAAGTGAGCACCCACTATAAGCCAGGCACTGTTTTAGGTGATGAAGATAGAAGTGGACAAAATTCTATTATAGCCAGTTGTCTCTGTACAACATGGCCCTTTAATTACAATAATTTCTACTGAGTAGAGATAAAATCTGTCCATTCCCATTTTATTGGTGGACAATTTGGTAAACAGTTTTGTTACCCACTCTCTAATCAATCAAGTATTTGTGGAATTGAAAATTTGATCTTCAAGCTTGTAAATTTTGTTTTCTATAGCTTTTATTTCCATTTTTTAAAGATTATTAATTTTTGAAAGCATTTTGCTAAATACTCAACTATGAAGTTGGGTCTGCTAATTTTTTCATTGTAATTCTAATTTTTCCTAATTTTATATAAAGGGTGTTGTATATACATGTCTAAAATTGTTCTGTCTTCTTGATAGACTGTTACCTTTATTATTATGTATTACCTCCCTTTACACTAACTAATGCATTTGCCTTATATAAACGTGAATGAAAATATCTGCCTGATATTTACATTGCTGTAATAACTTATTAAGTATTTGCATAGAATATGCTGTTCAATATTACAAAGAATATTAGACCTTGCCTTCAAAGGACAGATAGCATCTATTGATTTTTTGGTCTTAATTTCATAGAGTCTCTCTCCTCCTAATAGTACAGCATTGATGTGCTGACATTTCATTCACTTAATTCCAAATTCCTTTCTTCCCTGCTAAACATGAAAACAAAAATATGTATTCTTCCTCTTTCTATCTCCAGGCTTTGTCACAATCAGTATTCAAGTAATGTTTCTTGGATAAGTTGTCTCAACTTATACTACATGAGTAAAGATTTTTGAGTAGTTACTTTTTTATACTTTATTGAGGTATAACTGATATACAAAAATATACATATTTGATGTATACATTTTGATGAATTTGGACTTGAGTAGTTACCTTTAAAAATAATATCTAAACTCAATTTTACAGGACAAAAATCTTTCTTTCTCCTACCAATTAATTTGTAACGTAAAAATTTTAAATGACAGTATTCCATTTAGTTATTAATTTGAGTGGTTTTAATTAATGAATAAAACTTCAGTATGAATCTTTATTTAAATAAATACTAAAATATTTTAGTGCTATTGTATTATAAACATCAGCAAATAATCAATCTGAGATAGGAGGCAAGACTCAACTACAGAGGCAGGCCTCGGACACCGGACCAGACTGAAGACCAGCTTAAAAAGGCCAGGTAAAAAGAAGCTTTCACTCAGACATTCCCACCACTGCCAATGTCAATTTACCATTGCCATGGCGATACCCCAGAGTTGCTGACCCTTTCCATGGCAATGACCCAACGATTACCACCCCTTCCCTGAATAAACCACCCCTTCATCTCTTAATCTGTATGCAATTAAAAATGGGTATAAATGTGACTGCAAAACTGCCCTGGCTGCTACTCTCTGTCTATGGGATGGGCCTGCTCTGCAGGAGCAGTCACAGAGCTGCAACACCACCAGAGCTGTAACACTGTCTGTTCAATAAAGCTGTTTCCTTCTACCTCTGGCTTGCCCTTGAATTGTTTCCTGGGCAAAGCCAAGAATCCTCATGGATTAAGCTCAACTCTGGGGCTCTCCTGCCCTGCATCAGCTTGGCACCCAACATGGGGCAAAGACAGAAGATGGCAGTGGGTGATTAATGAGGCAGCAGTCAGCAATCAGTGAAGCAGCAATTGGCAGGATTCATGGGACACTGATCAGCAGAGCCAATGGTGGCAAAAAGTGATTAGCAGACTGAGGATCGGAGAGGCAGCAAAACAGAGTTGTAACACTTGAGGTCTGTCACTACCAAAGCTCTTTCCAGAGCCACTATTTTCCCTGGCAGGCAGTGGAGCTGATCAGATGAACAAGCAGCCATAGTGTGCTGCCTCATGTGACACCTGCCTCTCTGACCAGCAGCCCAGTGGGTTACTGGCCATGCAGGCCCCTCCCACTGTGGCAGCTGAGCCCATCGGTGAGACGGCTGTGAGGCTGTCTGCTTTGTGTGGGGCCCAACTCTCTGACAGGCAGCCCTGTCAGTTACCTGCCTGTACAGGCCTCTCCCACCCCAGCAGTAAAGTCCATTGGTGGGGGGCAGCCATAGTGCCATCTGGTTTGTGTGGGGCCCGCCTCTCTGACTAGTAATGGGTGGATTACCAAATTGGTGCAGGCCTCTCCCTCTGAGGCAGCCCTGCCAAACTCACCCAAGCTGAGGTATCCTGGAGAGATCTTCACCAGGTCCCACAGTCTGTGCCATTTCTGCTGAATGGGTGGTATCCCCTCTGCCCTTCCTTTCATAATATTTGGTAAAGCTAGGGAATAAAAGCCTTTGGCTAAGTTGTCAGTTCCTCACAGTTTCGGTGCCTTGAAACACGTCCTTGTCACCCCTTCTCCAAGTCCTTTGTCTTCTAACTCCATTTTATTGCTCCACCATTTGTTTTATTTTCTTAAATGATTTATGCCTTAAAATGTGTTTGATGTGCACTCTTACATTTGCTTTAAACGTTCTGTTAATTGTGAGTGGACAATTAAGGCAGTACACTTGGTTGTTAGAGGTCCCCTGTTGTGTTGACTCTGGGATGCCAGAGTCACACTGTTCTGTGACCCCCAACTTGGTCTTGGGTTCACTGTTGGCTGCCCCCTGATTGCCCCCAAGGTTTTCAGCATTTGGTGAGGGGACCCTCATTGGTTGACACTCAGTAACTCTGGGTTTTCAGCATTAGTATTTTTGGCCACCCCCCAATATGCTCTGGGATTTTCAGCACTGACATTCTTTCTAAGTATGGTGGGTTATAGCCCCTCCCCCTAGGGGAATATTGGTCTTGCCTTTTTCTGCCCTTAGAGTTAGAAGTATTATTTTCCCAACAGCCAGCTGCAAGTCCCTTCCTGTGTGCTTTCTAACAAGTGCCTTGCTTAAGCCCCTCTTGGCCAAAGGAACTGGGAGTTCCTAGGCCCCTGGCCTGATGGACAGCCACTTACAGCAGTAGACAAGTGGCCATCCAAATATTTTTGTTTTTGGTGTCTCCACTACTGGGTAAATTCTCCTGCAATTCAGGGCCTCTGAGGTCTCCCCTTGGGCAATGCTGTTTACCCTTTCCTTTCTCTCTTCCACAGCCATTTGTTTATCCTCCCTTTCTGTGTAACCCTCTCTCTGTGGAATTTAAGTTCAACATCCCACTGCCTTTTTGTAGCTTGGGATCTAATTTGTAACACCTTGCTACCTATGAAAAGTGGGAATGTAAAAGGGAAAAAGCAACTTGGCATTTACTAAACTTAGGCTAACCAAAACCCTCTGTAGAGATCCTTACTAGACATGGGTGCAACAGCAAGCATCCCAGAGGACCCACCACTGGGGTATGTTTTAGGCCAATGGAGCAAATTCAAATTTGGCTAAAAGAAGAAGAAACTCATTTAGTATGGCAATAATATTTGCGTTCGACACAAAGTGGCAAACCAACACATTTGGCCTAAACATGGTTCTATATGTTATAATGATACTTTACAATTAGACTTCTTTTCTAAAACTGAAAGAAAACGGGAAGAGGTCCCTTATGTACAGGCTTTTATAGACCTTTACTGGCTCATGTTACTTCCAGGCAACAGAAATTCATGCCTAAAGGATCCCCTCCCAGCTGCTTCCCCTTGGAGGCCTACTCCCCCTCCAGGGTCTCCTCAGTCTCCCAACTCTCAGTGGGTTGGGGAGGGGTCCCACCAGTTCTCTAATGAAGGACTGTACCCCAAGGACATCAGGCACACCTCATCCTTATCCAACTAGCCTCAGCCTATACCCCTTGCTGCCCCAGAAAGTAAGCCCAACCAGTACCACCAGGAGTCAGCCCCATACCAGCATCTAAAGTCAAACCTGTGTCCATTGCAGGAGATACCTAACGGAAGTGAGGGAATACTTAGAGTACATGTGCCATTTTCTATGTCTAATTTGGCTTTACACAAGGAAAAACATAGAAAGTTTTCAGAAAATCCAGTAAAGTGTATAGAGGAGTTTGTTAAGTTGACCATGTTCTTTGATTTAACTCATCATGACTTACAAATAATCTACTTGCTCTGCTGTGGGAAAAAAGCAAAGGAAAAAGTATATGGGTAAGCCAGTCAATTACGACACAGTTAGAGAACTATCTCAGGGCAATAGGAAAAAAAAGAAAAAGAAATAGCCAAAAAGTACAATTGTTAGCAGTTGCCTAAGTCCCCTGCCCCCTAAGAGTTATCTATCATGAGAAAATGTTATGAAATTGGCATCTGGGATGGGATGCCTAGACAAGAGCCCCCAACTTGCCTGCCCCTGGGCCAGAATCAGTGCACCTGCTTTAAGCAAGAGGGCCCTTGGCAATAAGCATGTCCTAACTGTCCCTGGTAAGAGAGAGAAAAAAGGCTCTCCATCAATTCTAGAGCTAACCTTCTTCTACTAGCCCCCACAAACTGTCTTACTCAAGTAAGTTTACTGGAAGTCTTGGACCATTGTCCCTGCAGATGGCTTCCCACAGTGGCAGACAAGCAGCTGCCTGAACATTTTTCTTCAGTGACTCCACTGCTGGTTGCGCTCTTTGGTAGTTCGGGGTCTCCAGGGTCTCCCCTTGAGCAATGCTGTTTGCTACCTCCCTTTCTAATTTGATGCTATTGGATCCCTTTCCCTGCCTCTTCCTGTTTTCAAACCTATTGAGGCAAACAAAATTTGGCCAAGTAGATGGTCCCAATTTTGTAAATAACTTGAATCCAGTTGTCTTGTGTAGGTAACTTTATTTAATGTGTTTGTTTAGGCATATATACAAGTATTGTGATATATGTTTTGTCTAGCATGCTATCAAATTGGTTTATAAATAATCTTCATAAATTAAATGACTAGTCAAAGTTGATTAGTTTGAAGATAATGTTACATCTTCTGAAATTTGACATTAAGATTTTTACTTTGGTAAATCACTGATATAGGCTTTAAAATGGTTAAAATGGCTTTAAATGGTGACTAGATTTGCATAGCAACTTGGTTCTCGGAGATAGTCTACATAAAACTGTTAAAAGTGAAAGAATGGAATAGATGCTTAAATAGTGAGCGTATTATGTGGTTTAACGTCTTAAAGTGATAGAATGATTCTTATCTATAGAATGCCAGTGTCTGGTGGGCTAGGATTTCTTCCTCCCTAGGTTTACATAAAATGTGCCAAAGAAATGTATTCTTTATTGGGAAAAATAATTTTGTCTAATTTGGTAGTTATTAAAAGGGAGGTTCAAAATATGAGGGAACCAGTGAGTAAAAAAGAGAGATGTAGAGAACATCATGAATAGAAGATTTATTATTATTTTGCAAGGAATGATATAAAGAAAGAGTAATTTTATAAGAGAAGGGATCTCGTATAGTAAATTCTTGCCCTAGAGTAAAATGACTGGTTATTTAAGAAATAGGCAGCATAGGACAAGTCAGAACATTCTAGCATGTTATAGATGATCTGCATAAGTCTTGAAAAGTTAGTAAAGGAGAATGTATGGAAGTATTAAAAGGAAACTGTCTATAACAGGCTTTTTAGAAAATGGTCTCTATATCTGAACCAAATTTTCTTAAGGTATTGATTTGCTAAATTACCAGAAATTTTTATTTTCAATCCTGTGATCTACTTCTTTTGAAAGCTTCTGAGATTCATGTAGCTCTCTCCATTAGTTTTTTTGTCAGCTCCTTTGAGTTTTTCTCCTCTGATTATGACTGCTGTTGTGCCTAATGCTAAAGTATTTTGTCTTAGAGGTCTGTGGGAACAGTGTTTTCTCCCAACATAACTTAGTTCTATGCTATTGGTGTTCCTCAATGTGTAACCTCATTTTGGCTTTTGGTTTTTGCTTAGAAGGGTTTTGAGGCTGGCAGGTGCTTGCCCAACTCCATTCCCTTTGGCCTATGGATTTTGGGTTTTGTTTTGTAGCCCACCTTTTTTGCCAGGGTGTGCTGAAGGCAGTGTCAATGGCCAAGCTCTTATTTTGTCCTGTACCAATGCTACGGTAGTGTGCTGCCTGCTTTGGGTCCATCGTGTCCCTTGGTAGGGCCCCCAGAGCCAGAGGACTTCAAGTCAGGGGAATTGTAGTCAGCTGGATGTTCTCGGCCAGATGAGAGTGGAGGTTGGCAAGCACTCCTTGCCAGTCACAGAGCTGTAACCCCACCAGAGCTGTAACACTGTTCAATAAAACTGTTTTCTTCCACCTCTGGCTTGCCCTTGAATTCTTTCCTGGGCAAAACTGAGAACCTTTACAGGCTAAGATCCACTCTGGGGCTTGCCAGTCCTGCATCAAATCCACACTTTTTTTAGAGAAACCATCAGTGATCCCTTTTCGTAAAGAACAAGGTTAAAATTCCTTTCCCCAGCACTCAGCCCTTTAAAATCTTTCTCCTGATGTTCAACTTAAAATCTAGAAACCCTTTTATGACTGATTCTGCTCCTATCAACTAATTCACTGATTTCTCATATCCATATTTTGGGAAAGGCAAGATGCTTCTCCTGGTACTTCACTTTCTTCTGCTATCTCTTCCCTTCCAATTTTCACATGTCCATAAAACTCCCATATTTCAAGGCCTCTTAACTCTTATTCAAGTTTATTTGGTGCTTCTCTTACAGCAGGTACCACTTTCTGTTTTGTAATTTATTATTTATGAGCACATCAAATCTCCAGTACCTCTACTGAATGAATGAATGGTATCAAATATTTTTATTAAGCTTTGGGGAAAAACTGGTGTTTCACTATTGCTTTCAATTTTTAACTATTTTTTCTAAGACTTGTTAGGTTGACCCCAAAACTCACTGCTGAGAAAAACTGCAATCTAAATTAATCAGTGTGCTCTAGAGACTCAATAAATGCAAAATTGCTAGTCTAAAATAAGGCTAGGTGAGCCTGGCAAAGGTACTTTTCACTTTTCTATTAAATAAGACTTTTTTTTTTTTACCCGAAGTCAGTGGCCACCTCTTTCTACATCCTCCAGAAATACTCGTGTTTGTATAAATAGTTCATACATAGTATATAAATGTTATGATTACTTTGGCAAAAAGGAGTCTAGGCATGCCTGGGTCAGGGGCACAACACAGTCTACCGTTTCAACATATGGGCTCAAAAGTCTGACAAACCAGCTGTGAGTCCTTGCAGAGGTTTGTAACCTTGGGGAATTTAAATAATCTTTCCATAGCCCAGTTTCTCATTTGTAAATGGGTATAATAATAGTACCTCCTTTTAATGATGCTTTTAAAGTTACTCAAAATATTGCTTGTAAAGCACCTAGCACAGTAAACCTAATAATTTTTCATTATTTATTTATTATAATAAATTATTATTATAGTAACTATAATTATTTATTAAAATAAATAAATTGTGATCTTGATTATAATTAATTGTTATTCCTGACATTACTATGCCCATGTAGAAGAGCAGAAGGGTCAGAGTGAATTGTGGATAAGAGTATGAAAGAGCAAAGCAAATATCAGCGGTCAAAATTTTATAAGGCCTATTAATTTTGGGAAACTGTATATAGAACTGATTGAAAATTATCCGGGACATATATGCCCTTAATCCAAATCAATTGTGTTGGTATATTCCACTGTTTTACAATTATAAATATTATAATCTCAACATTCCAGTGGTCATTATAACTTATTAAGGGCAATTCCAATACTGACAATGCATTTTAATCAATCATACCCTCTACCTATCTTGCAAAAGATGAAGCCATATATTTTAAAAATTTGCTGTTAGTTTTATTGCTTTAATTTAATTTATTGCTTTAATTCTTTAGTTCTCCCTTATGTAAACATAGGAATTCTTCCCCAAAGCACCAAAGATTAATCAGACAAAATCAACAAACATTTGCTGTTTAATAAATGAGTGCATGGCTATAAGGAGGAGATAATTTTAAAAAACAAAAATAGAAAAGGCTGACACAACAGCCTTTTGCCAAACATGTAAGAGAGCAAGGCCATCTGTCTCCCTGGATTTATGAGAAGAAACCTTAGCCTCCCTGGCAGCACCAAGAAAAATGTAAATGTTTTGAACTGAAGTCATTGGTCAGCAATTCCACTCATTTTGATTTCCCCCAATTCAGAGCAGCATTGGGGAGGTCTGAGGGACAAAAGTGAATAAGAGCAACTTAAAATGCCAGAGAAGGTGATAACTGTCTTACTAATTATCTGCAAGCAGAAAGATCACTAGTAAATATTTTCCTGGCTGAGATTTACACATCCTACAGGCTAGGGAGACCTGGAGGGTGTAGAATGTCTCTGAGAGTAAAGACAAAACACGGAGTTTTCAGAATGTGTATCTCCACACTGGTATCCAAATGAAAACACAGTACTTGAATTCCAATGCAAACCGGTATTTACTGATGACAGAATCATTTTGTGAACTTACACTATAATAACCAAAGCTCATTCCATTGGTTGTAAAAGTTCTGGCAGATCTCTTTACCCTCTCTTTGTCTCAGTTCCTCACATGTAAAATAATAATAATAATAATGCCAACTTTACAGATTTTTTTGTGAGAATTTACTAACACTTGTAGTGTTAGTTGTAGCACTTGTAAATAATTTAGAATAGTTAATACTTAAAATTATTATTGTGTTATTACTATTGACTAATGTATGTATCTTTTTTCTATAGAATCAGAAATTCTTGCTTTGCTATTTCCCTTTTTTCAAGTAACTTTCATTTCATTTCCTATGCATATGTCATATGTTTAAGGTTCAGAATAAGACAAAGAAAGGTAGGTTTCCTTCCCTTCTAGAATATCATGTGACAGTTAATATTGAGTGTCAACTTGATTGGATTGAAGGAAGCAAGGTATTGATCCTGGGTGTATGTGTGTGTGTGTTGCCAAAAGAGACTAACATTTGAGTCAGTGGACTGAGAGACGCAGACCCACCCTCAATCTGAGTGGGCACCATCTAATCCGCTGCCAGCATGGTTAGGATAAAAGCAGGCAGAGGAACGTGGAAGGACTATACTGGCTAAGTCTTCTGGCCTTCATCTTTCTTCCGTGATGGATGCTCCCTGCCCTCGAACATTGAACTCCAAGTTCTTCAGCTTTTGGACTTTTGGACTTACACCAGTGGTTTGCCAGGGGCTGTTGTAACTTCAACCACAGATTGAAGGCTGCACTGTCAGCTTTCCTTTTGAGGTTTTGGGACTCGGACTGGCTTTCTTGCTCCTCAGCTTGCAGATAGCCTATTGTGGGACTTCATCTTGTGATTGTGTCAGTCAATACTCCTTAATAAACTCCCCTTTATATATACATCTATCCTATTAGTTCTGTCCCTCTAGATAACTCTGTGAGTAATACATATCATAACATCATATCCCTTTTGCCCTCTGTGATGATAAGAAACCTCCGGAGTTTCTAAGCAGATCCTTTCCCATTGTGTCTTCTCTGCATGACCATTTCTCATCTCAAACCAAATATTATCTGTAGACTAACCAAAGGCTAGATAATAAAATAGCTGGTTTACTATAGGCTTATTTTCTTAAAGCTAGAAACATATAATCATTCACTTCAGACTGGCATGATTTTAAAAATCATGATTCATATTCATTTCATATTACATATTACAACTGAGGCCCAGAGAGATTAATCTACTTGCCTGAGAATATGAGTGGGGGAGCCAGGACAAGGATCCACTATGTCATAACGCCCATGCAAACCTACCACATGCCCTCAAATTTCCACAAAGTGTTTGCAGGTGCACTGTGGCATCATTGGGCTTTTTAAATACCTATTCTCTCAAATACCTATTCTAACTCTGCCAAATTAGGAGTAGCAGCACTTAGTATTCCATACCATTTAGGAGTCAGAAATATCTTTAGTGCACTTTAATTCCAGGTGGCATCAGAGTGGCACGAAAGGGTTAATATCATCCCCTAACAAGTACTTATGTTGCCCAAGAGCAGTCCTTTAAAAAACAGAAAAACAAATAGCATTCATGGGTCTGTATCTAATATTGGAATAGAACTACATGCTCCCATAAAGTCACTGAAATCATTTCTTTTTTACAACATCATTCAATAATTGATGTGTAAAATGATAATACTGACTCTGTAACAAAGATTCCATTACAGTCCATAAACTTCACTTTAATAAAAGGTCAGAATGTAATCCATTTTAGAAAAATGTCCATTAAAGTGACTGTTTTTTCAAGTTTGATATTTAGAGTTTAAGGATATAGCCAACTTCCTACTGAACAGTTCCTTTCAGAGCCCTAACAGGCATATCAAACTCAACGTGTCCAAAACAAACTCAAAGTCCACCCTCAAATCATCTCCTACATCCTTCCTTCTCTCAGGAAATTGGATCAAACAAACTTCTGCAAAAATCCAGAGACTTGACCTTGACACTCCCCTCTCCTACACCTGCCAGAATCAAGCAAGCAATCCAGCTCTCTTAATATCATATCTTAAATGCCTCTTGGTTTTACCTACTCCTCTTACACCTCATTTTGCACTATTTTGCTCTAAGCAGACATCATTTCCTACACAGAATACATGGAATACTGCCACAGACTCCTACCCAGACCTCCTGGAAAGAATAGCTCTTCTCTAATCCATTCTCTACATTGTATCCACAGCAATCTTTCTGTGACACAACTCTTATCCTGTTTGCTTTGATTTTTAAGTCCATTCAGTGGCTTCCCACTTTTAAAATCCATTCAGTGTATCTTATTCACTTATTTAGTTATCCACATAGAGAAAAAGACACATCAAACCCATATCCAAATCAAATCTAGGACTGTAATAATACCCTACAGTCAGTCAAAATTTTCACCCCCATCTCACACCCCAATTTCCCGTACACATGACAGACAACATCCTAATTCCCATATTCATAATTAGTCTTTTTTGGCTTTTGTAAAGTTTTGTTGTATTTTTCTATATTTTTAAATACTACATTTTTTAAATTTTAGTTACTTTTAGTGTTTTAAGCAGTATTATACTGTATATAATCTTTGAAGGATACAACTTTTTTCTTTCTTATAATTTTATTTTAGATTCGGGGTACATGTGCAAGTTTGTTACATGGATATATTGTGCGATGCTCAGGTTTGGGGTACAAATTATCGTGTCACACAGGCTGTGAACATAGTACTCAATAGGTAGTTTTTGTACATAATTTACTATTATATGTTCAAGATTCAATCATGTTGATGGAAGTCTCTGAAGTGCATTCATAGTAACTATTAAACTACTATATAAGATCTCCTTGTATTGATATACCAACATTTATTAATCAACTTTTCCATTAATAGATCTATGGATTATTTTCAGGCTTTATTTTTATGAATTATAGTGCTATGGATATTTTGTTTATGTGAAAAATTTTCTTGGGTATATGACTATAAGTGCTGAGTTATATATGAATGTTCAGATTTCAGAGATAATGTCCAACTGTTATCTGAAGTTATTATAAAAATGTAGAGACACATCACCTTTAGCAATTGGTATTATCAGCCATTTATAGTTTTTGCCAACTGACTAAATATAAGTGATATATCACTGTAGCCTTGATCTGCATTTTTCCAAGTAAAGTTCATGTTAATTATTTCTTCACAAATTTATTTGCTATATGTGTTTCATTTTCTATGAAGTGTCACTTCAGTTCTGTTGCCCATTTTTTTCTATTGGGTTATTTGGGCTTTTTTATTAATTATAGAAAAAATTTTATATATACTTGATATATATAACAATCAAGTTACTTATACGTACTTAATAATTGGTCAGTTGCGTTTGCTTTATATATATTCTACGATTTTTAACTTCTCTTTTTATCTTCTTTAAGGTACATTTGAATGAACTAACTTTCTCAAGTTTAACATAGTCAAATTTATCAATTTTTTTGCAGTAATTTTTTTATGTTTTAAGAATTTTTTTATTCCAAGGTCTTATAGATGTCTAAATATTTTTCTGCTAAAGTTTAAATTTTGTTTTTGACATTTAAGTCCTAAATCCAAACTTCATGACATGAGTTAGGCATCCAATTTCATCTCTTTCCACATGGATTGCCACTTTATTCTCGGTTCCATTTATTGAACAGCCTCTCTTTTCCCCACTGATCTGCAGTGCCTCTCCTGTCATATAAAGAATGTTCCAAACATATGTACACATGTGGTTCGCCATCAGAGGGCTAATTCTCTTCCTTTGGACAATTTGTCTCCCCCTGTGCTTCTCTGTTCCAATTATATAGCCTTAATTACACTAAATTTTAAGAGCTGTTACTTGCCACATCCCCACTCTGTATTTTTCTCCTTTACAAGTATCCTGGGCTTTCTGGAATCTTTATCATTCTATTAGAATTTTAGTATTTTTTTGCTTTTTACTAGTTATTTCCTACTCTTATGCTGTAAACCTCAATTTTAATGTTACAGCCTTTGTGAAGGTTTTTTTTTTTCTTTTTTGAGATGAAGTCTCACTATATTGCCCAGCCTGGACTCAAACTCCTGAACTCAAGCAATCCTCCCACCTCAGTTTTCTGAGTACCTGGGATTACAGGCACACACCACCATGCCTGGCTTGAGAAATTTTATCTAATACTCTAGATCCAGTGTCCTCTTCTTCCTGATCCTAATATCAATTATGTTTTATAATCATTTCTAACTTACTTTTCCTTTTCAGTTGAATATATATTCAGTCATTCGTTGCATAAGGATGGGGAAGTGTTCTGAGAAGTGCATCACTAGGCGATGTCATCATTGTGCAAACATCATAGAATGTACTTACACAAGACTAAATAGTATAGCCTACTGCACACTTAGGCTGTATGGTATAGCCTATTGCTCCTAGGCTACAAACTTGTATAACATGTTACTATGCTCAATACTATAGGAAATTATAACACAATTGTATTTGTGTATCTAAACAGATCCAAACATAGAAAAGGTACAGTAAAATGTTATAATTTGTTTAACTTTTATTTTAAGTTCAGGGGCACATGTGCAGGTTTGTTCCATCAGTAAACATGTGTCACTTGGGTTTGTTGTACACACTTATTCATCACCGAGGTATTAGGCCTAGTACTCATTAATTATTTTTCCTGATCTTCTCTCTTCTCCTGCCCTCCACCTTAGAGTGTTTTGTTCCTGTCTACGTGTCCATGTGTCCTCACTGTTTAGCTCCCACTTATAAGTGAGAACATGAGCTATTTGGTTTTCTGTTCCTGCATTAGTTTGCTAAGGCTAACTGCCTCCAGCTCCATCCACGTCCCTGCAAAGGACATGATCTCATTCTTTTTTATGGCGCATAGTATTCCATAGTGTATATGTACCATATTTTCTTTATCCAGCCTATGATTGATGGGCATTTAGGTTGACTCCATGTCTTTGCTAATGTGAATAGTGTTGCAATGAACATATGCATGGATGTCTCTTTATAATAGAACAATTTATGTTCCTTAGGGTATATACAATAATGGGATTGCTGGGTTGAATAGTATTTCTGTCTTTAGGTCTCTGATGAATCAATCACCACATTGTCTTCCACAATAGTTGAACTAATTTACACTCCCACCAACAGGAAAGAAGTGTTCCTTTTTCTCCACAACCTTGCCAGCATATGTTATTTTTTGACTTTTTAGTAATAGCCATTCTGATTGGCGTGAGATGGAATCTCATTGCGGCTTTGATTTGCAATTAGCTAATAATCAGTCATGTTGAGCTTTTTTTTTTTTAGTCCCATTAAATTGCCATTAACATTCTTCACAGAAATAGAAAAGACTATTTTAAAACTCATATGAAACCAAAAAAAGCCCAAAAGTCAAAGCAATCCTAAGCAAAAAGAACAAAGCTAGAGGCATCATTCTACTTGACACCAAACTATACTACAGGGCTACAGTAACCAAAACAGCATGGCACTGGTACAAAAACAGACATATAGACCAATGGAACAGAATACAGAACCCAGAAATAAGTTCACACACCTACAACTATCTGATCTTTGACAAACCTGACCAAAATAAGCAATGGGGAAAGGATTCCCTATTCAATAAATGGTGCTAGGAGAACTGGCTAGGCATATGCAGAAAATTGAAACTGGACCCCTTCCTTATACTATATGGAAAATTAACTCAAGATGGATTAAAGACTTGAATGTAAAACCCAAAACTATAATAACCCTGGAAGACAACCTAGGCAATACCATCCAGGACATGGGCACAGAAAAAGATTTCATGATGAAGACACCAAAAGCAATTTCAACAAAAGCAAAAATTGACAAATGGGATCTAATTAAACAAAAAAGCTTCTGCACAGCAAAAGAAACTAACAACAGAGTAAACAGACAACCTACAGAATGGGAGAAAATTTTTGCAATCTATGCATCTGACAAAGGTCTAATATCCTGCATCTATAAGGGACTTAAAACAAATTTACAAGAAAAAAAAACCACCAAAAAGTGGGCAAAAGACATGAACAGACACTCCTCAAAAGAAGGCATATGTGCAGCCAACAATCATATGAAAAAAAAAAAACTCAACATCAGTGATCATTACTTTAAAATATTATGGGATCACCATCATATATGCAGTCAGTTGTTGAGCAAAAAATCATTATATGGCACATGATTACACGCACACACACACACAGTCACATAAATACATACAGAAAGACAAAAATGTTTACTATATATTTGACTTTAAGCTCCATGGCAGGTGGGAGCCTTGTTCCCTTATGTCCCAAACATCAGGGACCTCAGTTATATCCCCAGGATTTGCATAGAGTAAGAACTTAATAAATAATGAATGAGTGAATGAATGAAAATATGTCAAAAATTCATTAACAGTGTATGTTAATATTGGGTCCTTAGGAATTGTTTAAAATTTAGACATATAAGGGAACTTAGAAACTGCCTACTCCAAAACCTTTGCTTTAATAATGGAGATGCACAGGTCCAGAAGGATCTTTTTTTAAGTAAAAAAGCCTGTTTTTAGCAGACCTAAAATGTGAAAATTTCAGTTAGGTACACTTTGCACAGCATCATCTGCTTACAAATAAAATATTTTGAAAACAAGGTGCAAACTCCTAAAGTAAAAATTCTGAAATAACAAGTGACAACTGAAAATGAAATTAAAACCCTCAAGTCTATTTTCCATTTATTCCAGACAAATAGTATTAATATAAAACTTTAAAGTAGTACAATGTACTGAATGTTTGTGTCTCTGCAAAATTCATATACTGAAATCCTAACCTTCAAAGTGATATTAGGAGATAGGGCCTTTGGGGGGTGATTAAGTCATGAAGGTGGAACCTTCATGAATGCAATTAGTGCCCTTATAAAATATGCCCCAGAGAGATTTCTCAACTATTCTGCCTAGTGAGGTTAGTGAGAAGACAGCTGTTTACAAGGAACAGCCCCTTATCAGACGTTGCATCTGCTAGCACCTTCATCTTGGAATCCCCAGCCTCCAAAATTGTAAGAAATAAATGTCTGTTCCTTGTTAGCCACCAAGTCTATATTTTTTTAACAACCTGAATGAAGTAAAATAACAAGTCTTATCAACAAAGAGAACAATAGTTTAATTTTACAATTTAAGTACAAGGAAAAGTTATTTTTGCCTTGCATTGTTAAATTTCACATTTTGAGATTTAAGACTTAAGGAGCATTAAGGACATAAATCAGCAAAACTGTACCTTTGTGTTACTGGCAGAAAAGGCTATCAAAGTTTTGCTGAATCAGATTATTACATTTTTTGTATGTGACCAACCTAGATGGTTTCCTTCAACAAATGACAGAGTGATCATTCCAAACTGATGTAATCCATCAAAAACACTTTTCTACATTCAGCCAAGCAGCAACTCAACTGATTCTGACAAAGAAGCTCAGAAGGCTGATTAATTCTGGGGTTTTAACTAAAGATCAGCAAATCATTCCCCATGTTCATTTGTCAAAAACATGGACTTATAATGTTCCCCTCTCAGAATAACTGAAGTATAAAGGCATAAAAAATGCATGTAAACTACCTAAATGGGTCTAGCATCAGTCACTTGCAAATTTTTTTAAATTATTTGTATTAGTCAAAATCTAAAATGCAAGTTCCATTTTAAAAGACAAGGAAGCGATTCAGAAGATTCAGAATTTCTCTAAATGAACAAGAGTATTTCTGTAATCTAAAGCAAACTCAACATGTCTAAAGTAATCTTTGATTTGCAATCTAAAGCAAACTCAACATGTCTAAAGTACTCTTTGAACAAAAATTAAATTTTGGAAATGCTCTTCTGTTTCCCTAAATTTCATGTAACCTGATAGTGTTAATGAGATTCTGTTTATTAAATATTTTGTTCAATAAATATCTCAAAAATATGTATAACATTAAAAGCAGATCATATTCATTAAATAAATGTAAATCTCAACTTGATAATTTAGATTCACTTTTCCAAAAGGTACAAACATGTCATGATACTTCAATTGAAGCTTGCTTTTTGTCATATTTATGCAGAAAACTTTTGCCAAACAGAGAATATGTTAGTTCAATGAGAATAAAACTAATTTTGAGTACTCTTACATATTTTAGAAGTATTGAATTTTCTAGGAATACATTAGAAATATATTTATAGATCTTGAAGTTAACAAAAAAGAAAGCATAGAGAAAACTGGAATAACTTCACAGAAAACAAATCTCTATGGCTTTACTTGATAAATAACCATTCATACAAATTATTATGTTTACATTCATATTTAGTCTTTGAAACTGGTCCCTCAAGAGGAAAATACTGAAATAAAGTAATTTTACAGTATACTTGAAATTATCTTTTTCACTTAACATACAGCCAGCAATCTGGTAAATCTGCATACCGCCATGTGTTTTGTTTTAAAAATTGGTTGTTTTATTTCAACTGTTTTGGAAGTCTTTAGCGGTGTCATTCATGCACAGTTCGTTTGCTAAAATCGCCACCTGTCTCACTTTAGTGGTTTTTCCGTTTTATGTTATGTGCTTGGTCTTTAAAGGCTTTTGGCTTCTAGCAGCCTAGATTTAAAATTCTGCCCAGTTTGAACGTTCACTCAACTGTTCTTTTCATACAGTCACAGAACACCAGAATTTATTAGGTTGAACGGTATCTTAGAGGTTAGCTAACTCTTCTTATTTCTTCCAAGAAGACGCCTAAGACCAAGAAAGGTAAAGTAACTTCCCCATGGTTAAACATGCATTAATAGTGCTGCCAAAATGCTCTTCTAACTCACTAAGGCAAAACTCTTCTGATTCTGAAGTTTCTCATTTTGTCAAGGCACCACTTTTCTCATCTCTATAAAGACAGTATTTGCTTCATAAGCACTTACCCCTCAATGCAGGCAGCAGAGATCTCTCCTTCTTGTCATCACATTTGTTACATTCACTGAAGTACAGCAGTAAGAAGACATCAACAAGAACCCACATCAGCGAAGTGGCTAGAACCACCTTGCAGTAGACAAATCTCCTCATGTCTTTCCTTGATTTCTAGTTAACACACAGATTGAAGACAAATGCTACTGTGATAAATCCAAGCCACACAGGTGAACTCCAAGATGAAAGCAGGATACATTCCACTGCATTAAAACAAAGAAGAAAATTTCATTAATTGTACACATAGATTTTTGGATAAAGAACATATAACATGAAATGTATGACTTATTTAATGTTCTCAAATATATCAGTACTCAAGCCTTCGAATCCAAAATTAAAAGCCTAAATAAATGAAAGTTGCTAGCAAGCTAGTTGGCTAACATTTTAATACCTAATACTAGATCTGCCACTACTCTGCCAGGCCCTTGACAAACTACTTGATTCCTTTAAGTTGTATTGTAATGAACTTAAAGTCATATCATGATATTCTTTATAGCTCCAGGTTGTCAAATAGTGCAATTCTGACTTTACTCTAATTCAGTACTTCTGACTAGCCAATAATTCTGAAATAGAAATCATCCTGGGATACAATATATTATAGTGGCTAAAATCTGGCCTTCATAGACAGACACGTCTGGGTCTGTACACCTCCTAAGAATAGAAGACTTTCTAAGCCACAGTTTTCTCATCTGTATAATGTGGATAGAAATGCCAAAGCTAAACCTCATTTGTTATGAGGATTATGTAGAATCATATTTATAAAGCATCTTGCAGAACAGATAATTAATAAAACATAAAACAGAGCTGGGCACGGCGGCTCACGCCTGTAATCCCAACACTTTGAGAGATCGAGGCAGGCGGATCACCTGAGGTCAGGAGTTTGAGACCAGTCTGGCCAACATGGTAAAACCACGTCTCTACTAAAAATACAAAAATTAGCCAGGCATGGTGGCACGTGCCTGTAATCCCAGCTACTCAGGAGGCTGAGGCAGGAGAATCACTTGAACCTGGTAGGTGGAGGTTGCAGTAAGCTGAGATCACACAATTGCACTCCAGTCTGGGTGACAAGAGCAAAACTCTGTCTCAAAAAAAAAAAATACATACATACGTAAAAATAAAATAAAATAAATACATAAAACAGAAAAAATTGTTCTCATATTCTTAAGTAGAGCAATTGCAAGACACGATCAATAATTACACAGCCTCTAAAATCCCAGCTGATCTGCAGAGAAAGTATCTACAATAAATGTGTGTTTAGAATAGATAGCACGCATCCAATTTATCAGGGGAAAAATATATTAACATAAATGATTTAAAATAATCAGAGCAAGAATTTAAAGGCTATAACAAAGATATGTACATAATTATTAAGAGACATTTTTCAAGGTAAGTGTAGAATGAATACCTTACACTTATTTGTTTTATTTATACTACATTGAGCATTTTATTTATACTACTACATTTGTTTAACTACCTGGTTAACCAACTTTTATCTATAAAGTAAGTAAATCAGACAAAACATATTCTGATATCATTTGTTACATTTTAAATAATATCGAGTAAAATGTAAGCTTATTGATGTGAATAAGATAAGTGATGAAGTTTTGACAGAGCTAATTGGGGTGAACAGTATTAAATACAAAGACACTTGAAATATTTCATAAACGTTTGTCTCAAAAACATCAAAGTATAATTTGATGAGCACAAGCTCTTTAAATTAACAGCAGCTGACAGCACCATAAAGCAACAGAAATTCTGTTGCCTGTTATAACCAACCTAAACTAGCAACAAATTCAAAATTCACATAAAGCGCCAGTTACAAAATAATTATTGTAACAGATTTTATTTTAGTAATTACAAAAAAATTACATTTACATTTATTCAGAATGTGTATATATATATATAATGGAGAGATATATGTAAATCCAAAGAATACATGACATTTGGGGTTTTTTTTCTTAGAAAAAAGTAACATGTTATTATCTACTTTGTTTCATTTCCACTTTAATTTTCTATAAAAATGATAGCTAAATATTGGAAATCAGCCTCTAAACCTGATAATAAAGGAATGATTATCCCATATTTATTTCCTGTTACCGTGTACATTCTTTTCTAAATTTGAGATATGAAACAATTCAAGCTATCAAATGTTCTGTCTTCAGTCTTAAGATAGGGTAGATCCTTTCACTTTATTGTAGAAAATAATTCCATGGAGAAGTACCTATAACATTGACGGTCACTACACGGCCATTCCCAAGTTTATAAGGAGTGCCATATACATAAATGATCCTGGAAGATGTAAACAGCACCATCCCTGGCTCTGTCATCAAATAAAGGGATGACCTTAGGTAGGTATCTTGCTTCTCAGTGCTTCATTTGTTTATAACATATTTCCTGCCCCATCAATCTCACAAAATATTGTGAGGCTTAATCAAGATAAAGAATTTAAAAAATCGTTCAAGAAAAGATGAAGAATATTATTATAATAGAAAATCTGAAATCACTCAGTATTAATTAAATATTGAAATGTCTAAGATAAGTCATTTCCTAATAAAAGCCTAACAGTTGAGGTTATTGAGAATTTAACTTAAACTTTATTTATGATAAAAAGTCAAAATTACATATTATTGCCACTTCAAGCAGTATTCAAATTATCCTAATTTCATAGCCTGCTAGTGCTATATATTAAGACATTAGCACTGAAAGAATTCTAACTATATCATGTGAAAAACTAAGTTGCTGTTTAAACTTCTTATGTAATTATGAAACAGACTCTGCTTGTATTTTTTAATTTGGAAATTTACCTATATTTTGAAAACACCTACACCTTGAAAACAGGCTAAACTTTATCATTCACAGAAATCTAATCCCCTGGCACTTATAAAATAATAATCTTATATATTGTATTTCAATATTCCTCTTAAAAGAAGAAAACTGAGCAGAAAAATGGTACTTTAAACACAGAATACTAACCAACGTAAGCACAGTTGGTGGCCCAGGTTTATTTAAGAGAATCAGCATCTGTATTATGTTTCTATTCCAGGAAACCCCTACTTATTTGCAAATACTGTTCTGTTTCTCAGTCAGAAAATCCAAGTTCTTCAATATCCCTGGCTTGCCAAACCAGTGTAGTGCATGAGCAACTTGCATGAACTACAGACTTTTCTATCCAATACTATTACCCTTTTCCTAATTGTTTCAAAAACATTAAGTAATGGTATCAGCAAGATTGTCTATGTTATAGGATTTTTACTTGAAAATGTGTACCATATTTCCTATCTTTATTAAAAATTGATTTTAAGGCTAGGCACAGTGGCTCATGCCTGTAATCCCAGAACTCTGGGAGGCTGAGGCGGGCGGATCATCTGAGGTCAGAAGTTCAAGACCAGCCTGGCCAACATACTGAAACCTTGTAACTACTAAAAATACAAAAATTAGCCAGGCAAGGTGGCGTGTGCCTGTAATGGAACGGAGATAGTGCCACTGTACTCCAGCATGGGCAACAAGAGAGAAACTCCATCTCAAAAAAAATTTTGATGTTAAATATAAGAAATAAAATCTAGATAAAGTTTAGGGTTTTGTAACTATGTTGTTAAATTAAGAAGAAAAAAGCTTTTGTTTTTGCTTTGGTTTTTTATTTGTTGTTCTTTTTTAATTAGGAAGTTATTACTTAGGGAATCTATTTTACTTGCTATTAGACATATTTTTATCTATAGTCATAAACTTTCTTTTGTAGAAAATTGTGTAATGGGAGCAAATGTTTTCAGTCTATTTTCTGAGGCTATCCTTGAGGCTGCCAAGGGATCCTGGAAACTAGTGTAAGGCTGCTGGTAATGCTTCCAGAAGTTTCAGGCACTCAGCATACTTTAAATGTTTTAAATAGTTAGGCAGGAGCTTCTGTGAACTAATGACCAAATAATTTTGCAGTTTGGTTTATGGGCTGATAAACGTAGTGAGTAAGCCCTGAAAAAATACCATAAATTAGCTTCAGGTCTAACTGATAGGAAAACAGATCTTTGTATGAATAAAGATAAGAAATTGGCCGGGCACGGTGGCTCACACCTGTAATCCCAGCAATTTGGGAGGCTGAGGCAGGTAGATCACCTGAAGTAAGGAGTTCGAAACCAGCCTGGTCAACATGGCAAAACCCGGTCTCTATTAAAAATGTAAAATTAGCTGGGCGTGGTGGCGGACTCCTGTAATCCCAACTACTCAGGAGGCAGAGGCAGGAAAATCACTTGAACCTGGGGGGCGGAGGTTGCAGTGAGCTGAGATTGTACCATTGCACCCCAGCCTGGGCAACAGAGCAAGACTCTGTCAAAAAAAAAAAAAAAAAGACAAAAACTTAAGTTAAACCCAGGAAATCCACTCACAGCCTAAACCAAAGTGTCCACTGTAATAACCACATCACACTAAAGGTTAAACTAAGAGACAAAGAAGCCAACAAATATAATGCTAAATAAATGCCTTTTACTGAAAGATGGTAGAAGAGAAGCAATAAACAAAACTGAAAAAAACAACAACAAAAAATGCCCTCATTTGCATATACACTAAGGAAAGGGAGAATATTGATGATACGCTAAAATTCAATTCTCAGGAGGGAACCTAACATAGCCTGTAAAAGAAAACGTTTCAGAGTTACATTGTCATGATTTGAGTCTGGGTTTCAACACTCACTAATTGTGCAACTTGATTCAAGTTCCTTAAATGTTTAATGCCTTGGTTTTCCTACTCACAAAATGCGAATAGTAGTTACCTTGTAAGGCTAGGATGAGTACAGGGATGTAACACGTAACCTCTTATAACAGTGCCTGGCACATAAGAACTCAATATAGATTAGTTATTATTACTAGTAGTAACACATATTGTTATCATCAGAAACATCATTCTAAGAGCAAGAAAAAACAATGAGGATTCTCCCTACCCACCCTTGCAGAAACATTGCATGCTCAGTGTATAGGTGTTCAGGGGATTGGATAACAAAAGTACCACAAAGCAGAACTATTTTAGATGTAGTTTCTAATGTGGTATGAGTCACACAAGGTTTTACAATAGTGAAAACTCATTGAACTATGCACTTAAGATCAGTGCATTTCACTCAATGTAAATTGTACCTCCCTTTTAAAGGTAAATAGGTATCATATGATTCCCTGATATCATCAACTTTTGATTAAATAAATTGTAGTCACAAGTTCACCAGATAAGAGAGCTTCTACTTCATGCCTTTCTGATCTCATTTCCTACCATGTTCACATCAGTGACTTAGGTCTCCTGGCTGTTCCTTAAATATACGAATTACTAGCTTGCCTCAGGGCATGTGCGATTGTGCTTTCTCTGCCCAGTCATAGGTTCATGGCTCCCTGCTCTTGTTTCCTTCAGATCTTCCTTCCTTCCTGCTCAAATGTCACATCACCACGAGCTTTCCTATCAGCCTATATAAAACAGCACACACACCTTACTCACTGTCTTCTCACCCCACTTAATTTTCCTTCTTAGCAATTATCACCCCCAATTTATTGAAAAATTGTGGGGTTTTTTTTGTTTCTTATTTGTCCCCCTTTCTTAAATGGTAAGCTATATGAGAACAGGATTACGCTTCTCTTACATACGCCCTCTCTCACTCCAATATATTTAAATTTTAAAACTCCAGCATTTGTTGTTATGGGCTGAATTGCCCTTGCCTGCCACATTCCAAAAATCCATGGGTGCAAGTCCTAACCCCTAGTATCTTAGAATGGAACCATATTTGGAAATAGGGGATTTAAAAAGGTAATTAGACAAAATGAAGTGTGATGGGTGGACCCTAATCTAATATGACTGGTACCCTTCAAGGAGATTAGGACACAGGAAAACCATGTGAAGACACAGAGAGAAGGCGTCCATTTACCAACCACAAAAAGAGGACTCAGAATAAAATCAACACTGCTGACATCTTGATTTTGGACTTCTAGCCTCCAGAAATGTGAGAGAAAATATATTTCTGTTGTTTAAGGCACCCAGTCTGTGGTATTCATTAGGGCAGCCCCAGCAAACTAAAACACTGGCTAGTTAAATTCACTTTCCTATACTCCACTTCTACATGCAAACAGGTGAACATGGCTGTCATGAAACTCCCAAATTATTCCACCACTTCTCATTTTAAATCTATGAGCCCACACTGCAGTGGAGTCCAAATCAATCTCCATCTTTCAGACAACAATTTTGCAGCTTATTTGACTTCCTCATACTGTCATCTCCACACTTTCTTTTTCTCATGGCTGATCACTATGCATCTACATTTAACAGAGAACATATAAACAATCAGAAGAGAATTTTGCATACTGCCATGTTAAATGTATTGCTTGCTTGTTTCCATTACTACCATACCAAATTCTACAAGTCCAACTGTTACCCTGGTGAACTGTCCCTTTAAAGAATGCAATACCCTCTACCCTCACATATTCAAGGATTTGACTAATGCACTTTTCTCTTCTGCATTAGTTTATCTTCTCTAACAAGTCATTATTACCAATATGCAAAGATGTTATATTAATAATAATCTTTGAATAAAGTAATTTCACCATACACCTCTCTTCAGGTATCCCTACATCCATCTACTCACCCTTAATGTAAAACTTTTGACAATAATTACATATGTCTATACATCCCTATCTTCCCATTCTCTCTTAAACTTCACAGGCTTTAGGTCCTGCCACTACGTGGAAACCTCATGTGATAAGGTCACGGTCAAATCCAATGATCAATTCTTAATCATCATCTTACATAAATACTCAGCAGCATTTGGTATAGGTTGGCCATAAACCGTGTACTCCTTTCTAGCAACTTGTTTCTTTCACATTCCATATTTGATTGTGCAGCAAATTCTGTGCCACTTTTCACCAATTCCACCACTACAACTATAGACCAAGCAGCCACCAGGATTTTGAAATGCTGCCTTAGATTGTTTTAAAAAAGTTTTATTGAGATATAATTCATATATCTGATAATTCACTCATTTAAAGTATACAATGCAATATAGTCACACATTGTGTGTCTATCACCACAATCAATTTTAGGGCATTTCCTTTCCTCAAAAAGTAAACCACTCCCCTTTGCTAGAACCCTCAATCCTACCATCATCCATAGACATAAGTAACTACTAATCTGATTTATTGGCTATGAATTTTCCTATTTTGAATGTTTCATACAAATTGAATCATACAATATGTTGCCTTCATGACTGTCTTCTCTCATTTAGCACAATGTTTTCAATGTTCATTCACATTGTAGCATATACAAGTACTTCATTTCTTTTTATTGCCAAATAATATTCCATTGTATAGCTATACACATTTTATTTATCCATTCATCACTTGATGCACATTTGTGTTGTTTCTACCTTTTGACTATTATGAAAAATTTAAGCTGTTAACATTTAGGTACAAATTTTCTGTAGACATATGTTTTCATTGTTCGTGGGTATATACCTAGGTGTAGAATTGCTTGATCATATGCTATGTCTTAGCATCTTAAATGCACCCCCATTATAATCTAGTCTTCTCACAAAAGGCAGGTGGTTCCTGTTAAAATTTAAATTTAATGGCCAGGCACGGTTGCTCACGCCTGTAATCCCAGCACTTTGGGAGGCCAAGGTGGGCGGAACACAAGGTCAGGAGATTGAGACCATCCTGGCTAACACAGTGAAACCCCGTCTCTACAAATACAAAAAACTAGCCGGGCATGGTGGCACACGCCTGTAGTCCCAGCTACTCAGGAGGCTGAGGCAGGAGAATCACTTGAACCCGGGAGGTGGAGATGGCAGTGAGCCAAGATCATGCCACTGCACTCCAGCCTGGGTGACAGAGTGAGACTGTCTCAAAAAAAAAAAAAATTAAATTTAATTAGATATCTTCCCTGTTCTGCTCATTATTGATCAACAGCTTCTATCACATTTAAAATAAATTGTAAATCCTATCCTTGGCCTGAAACACAAGTATGGTTCATCGCTAAGAAGGGATGGCGGGAATAAGAATATTTATGGCTCTCTGTGATAAAGGTGCCTACATCACCATCCTACCTGGTTTCAGGCTACAGGGCTGCTGTTTCAGGCCAATCAGTCACCTCCAGCCATACCACTGTGGCCCATGAAACTAAACTGGGTCATATTTGCTGGTTTCCAGACCATCTACAGTCTGGCAATGTTGTGCCATTTGTTGCAAAGGCCACCTAATAATAAAATGATAGTCAAGGTATTAGATTTTCCAAACTCAAAGCTCAAGTCCATTATATAAAATGGCATAGTATTTGTATATAACCTATGCACATATTCCTGTAGTCCTTAAGTCATTTCTAGATTATTCATAACACCTAATACAATGTGAGTGTTATGCAAATAGTTGTTAATGCTAAATTGTTTTTATCTGTGATTTTATTGTTGTATTTCTATTTTTATTGTGTTCTTTCACAAATATTTTCAATCCAAGGTTACTTGAATCTGCGAATGCAGAAACTGCAGACACAGACAGCTAACTCTACTGCTAACTGAATCCCTCTACAATGGCCTATGTGGGCAAACATGGGAGGTATAATGAGTCTCTGTATATTTTGTAAAAATGTCTCTGTTCCACTTGCATTTAATACTTTCATATCAAAGCTCTGGGTTAGATTAATAGAGGACTGGAGAGAAGTAAAGCAAAGTTATACTGAAATAGGGCACACAAAATTTCATGGCTGTGGAGAAAGCAATAACTGACATCTGGGGAAGAAATGGCTTGTACACCAAGAGTTGTGGGGAAGAGGATGGGTTAATTAATGCTCTGTTTGTCACCTAGATCCAGAATCAGAGCCTGGCAAAATAATCATATGGCCTGCCTGAGTGAAGTAGCATCTGTGGCTGACAATCCAGCCTGCTGTTCCATTTGTCATCTCTTCCAAGTGCTATGAAACAGAAAAACTCATGTGGGCATGGCCAGTCCTGAACTGCTCTGCTGTGCCTGATGCCATAAATGGCTGCTCCCAAAAAGATACCCTTCCTCCCACCTAAACAAACACAGGAACTTGCATAACATTGTTTCTATCTGGCTGATAGAAATTCACTTGCTTCTCCTGATATCTGAGCACTTTGGCTTATGCCATGTAAACAATCCAGGCTACAACTCTTCAGTGACATGACACATGCTTAATCAGACCAATGTAATGATGATCCAAATAAAGTTAAATAAAAAATCCTGATTGGACAGATTTATGTCCCTTTGGGCTATATGTTTGTATATGGGCTGAGTGAGCCATGGACTATCTCTCCATGGAAATTCAGATTCTATTAAATCATCTATTGCAATGATAACCAAAGATAAGCAGTTCTATGTAAACTCCCTTGTGTCAGTTGTGCTGGATAATACACTGTTCTTAGACTACCACAGTTTGGCTTTATAGAATAAAACCTATTGATATCCTCTTAGACTTATTTACAGTGACTGAGTCCCGGACCACAGGGAAACATGAGTAAAGTCAAAACTCCAAGTTGGCCTAATCCTGTTGTTAGAAGTTCTGCTCATAATAGCCTTATATAAATGCTGTATGAGAAAAACTAAATACATCTGACCCCAGCCACTGTCATATTATTTAGGGTGTTCAATGGAGTGCCATAATCACATGAAATTTCACCAGAAGCCAACATGATCAAAGATCAAAAGTGGATATCATTGAGAGACACTCCTCCACTCTCATAAACTCCTAATACTTCTTGCTGGGGATGCCAAGAATGCAAGGCCCCAAACAGCCAGGCCACTTTTCATAACTGTGTTTGCAGTAAGGAATATTGAAAAATGTTTATTATAAAATAGTAGCTTATCTAAGGTTATTGGTCTTTTTCTGTAATGCAACCCACCATGTAAGTAGGAATCCACTGGGGCTATCCACATACCCTCAATAGGACACAGGAAGCAAGTGGAACACACACAAACATATATTGTACTTTTATAGTCATAGCATCTTCATAGAATGGATATCCGTATATGCAAGCATGTGTTAAAAGACCAATATGTGACAAACTGCATTGACACGTGACATTTGATGGTTCATGTACTTCCTGTGCCATGAGTAAAAAATGTCCTTTGCTCTAATACAGAAGTCCATTCTGCCCAAATCCATGACATAATAACAAGCTAACTTTTAGCTTTTATGTGAGGTAAAATCAAATTCCAGAACCTTCACAGACCTGAGATCATCACACACACAAAAAAGCAGGAAATATGTATGTGTGTCTGTCTGTGTAAATTTTCACATTCCCAGAAAATTTACAGATACACTCACTAAACTTGGTAATCTCCGAACAACAGAATTTACAGTCTTCTGCAAGCTTGAATTTTTGCTACAATCATGTATTACTTTAAGAATAAAATTACCACCTTAATTATAAAGCTAAAATATTCCTTTCATTTATCCAACAGATATAATTTAGTGCCCACATAAATGCCAACACTGTGCTAAGGCATTAAAGATACATTCAGAAAAATCCTCTGAGATACTGTAAAAGATGACCATCCCCAAGACATGCAGTCATCAGATTCTCCAAGGTCAACATGAAAGAAAAATGTTAAAGGCCCCTAGAGAGGAGAGGCAGGTGACCTACAAATGGAACCCCATCTGGTTAATAATGGACTTTTCAGTAGAAACCTTATAAGCCAAAAGAGACTGTGGGGCCTATATTCAGTATTCTTAAAGAAAAGAAAGTCCAACTAAGAATTTCCTATCCAGCCAAATGAAGCTTCGTAAGAGAAGGAGAAATAAAATCCTTTTCAGACAAGCTAATGGAATTTGTTATCACAGACCCACTTTACAAGAGGTCTTTAAGGGAGTGCTAAACATGAAAATGAAAGACCATTACTGGCCACCAAAAAAACAAACAAACAAACAAACTTAAATAAATAGCCCACTGACGCTATAAAACACCTACATGATCAAGTTTACATAACAAGCTACTCTAACAACATGATGACAGGATCAAATCTACACATATCAGTATTAACCTTAAACATAAAGAGGCTAAACATCCCCACTTAACAGGATAAACACCCCACTTAAAAGGCACAAAGTGAAGATTTGGATAAAGAAGAAAGACTCAAGCATATGCTGACTTCAGGAGAACCATCTCACATGCAATGATACCCATAGGCTCAAAGTAAAGGTATGGACAATAATCTACCAAGCAAATAGAAAGCCAAAAAAATATTGAGTTGCTATTCTAATTTCAGACAAAACAGACTTTAAAGCAACAAAGATCAAAAAAGACAAAAGAAGAATATTATATTTGCAACCAACACTGGGGCACAGAAATTCTCTTTTTAGGAACCTACAAAGAGACTTAGATAACCACACAATAGTAATGGGGGACTTCAACACCCAACCAACAGTATTAGACAGATCATTGAGGCAGAAAACTAACAAAGAAATTCAGGACCTGAACTCAACATTTGACCAAATGTACCTAACAGACATATACAGAACTCTTCATCCCTTAAAAACAGAAGATGTATAATTTTCATCTGTACATGGCAAATACTCTAAAATCAATCACATGTTCACCCATAAAGCAATTATAAACAAATTTTTAAAAAAGCTGAAATCATACCAACCATACTCTCAAAACACAGAGCAATAAAAATAGAAATCAAAACTAAGAAGATCTGTCGGGCCAGGCACAGTGGCTCATGCCTGTAATCCCAGCATTTTGGGAAGGCAACGCAGGAGGACCACCTGAGGTCAGGAGTTTGAGACCAGCCTGACCAATATAGTGAAACCCCATCTCTACTAAAAATACAAAAATTAGCCAGGCGTGGTGGCAGGCCCCTGTAATCCCAGCTACTGGGAAGGCTAAGGCAGGAGAATCGCTTGAACCCAGGAGGCGGAGGTTACAGCGAGCCAAGATTGCACCATTGCATTCGAGGCTGGGCAACAAGAGCGAGACTCCATCTCAAAAAAAAAAAAAAAAAAGAAAGACAGAAAAAAAGAAAAAAAAGAAAAAGAAGATCTGTCAAAAACATACAATTACATGGAAATTAACCTGCTCCTGAATGACTTTTGGGCAAACAATGAAATTAAGGTAGAAATCAAGAAATTCTTTGAAACTAAGAAAAACAAAGAAGTAACATGCCAGAATCTCTGGGACATAGCTAAAGCAGTATTAAGAAGAAAGTCTATAGCACACATGAAAAAGTTTAAAAGATCTCAAATTAACAACATAACATCACTCCTAAAGGAACGAGTAAAACAAGGGCAAATTGATCTCAAAGCAAGCAGAAGAAAAGAAATAACCAGAAACAGAGCTAAACTAAATTAAATTTAGATATGAAAAACCATAGAAGAGATCAATGAAGCCAAAAGTTGGTTCTTTGAAAAAATAAATAAGATTAATAAACCACTAGTTAGAATAATAAAAAGGGGGAGAAAATTAAACACAATCATAAGTGACAAAGGAGACATTATCACTGACTCCACAGAAATACAAAAAACCTCAGACTATTATAAACACCTCTATTAACACAGACTAGAAAACAGAAGAAATGGATAAATTCCCGGGTGAGTTCCAAAACTGAATAAGTAATAAAAAACCCACCAACCAAATAAAGCCCTGGATGAGAGGGATTAACAGCCAAATTCTACCAGACATATAAAGAACTGGTGCCAATCTTACTGAATCTCTTCCCAAAAATTGAGGAGGAAGAAATCCTCCCTCACTTATTCTGTGAGGCCAGTATCATTATCATACCAAAACCTAAAAACAAACACAAAGAAAAGAGAAAATATCAGGCCAATATCCCTGATGACCATAGATGTAAAAATCCTCATAGAGGTAAAAGCAACATACTAGCAAACTGAATCCAGCAGCACATTGAAAAGCTAATCCACCATGATCAAGTAGGCTTTATCCCTAGGATGCAAGGTTGGTTCAACATACGTGAATCAATAAATGTGCTTCAGCACATAAACAGAACTAAAAATAAAAACCACATGATCATCTTGATAGACACAGAAAAAGTTTTCAATAAAATTCAACATGGCATCATGTTAAAAACCTTCAACAAACTAGGCATGAAATGAGTATATCTTAAAATAAGAGCCACCTATGACAAAACCGCAGCCAATGACAAACACCATACTGAATAGGCAAAAGCTGGAAACGTTCTCCTTAAGATCTAGAAAAAGACAAGGAAGCCCACTCTCACTACTCCTATTCAGCAACATACTGGGAGTCATAGTGAGAGTAATCAAGCGAGAGAGAGAAATAAAAGCTATCCAAATAGAAAGAGAGTAAATAAAACTATCTCTGTTTGTGGACAATAGGATTTTATACTAGAAAACCCTACAGTCTCTGCTAAAAGGCTACTAGATCAGATGAACAATTTCAGCAAAGCTTCAGCATACAAAATCAATGTACAAAAATCAGTAGCATTTTTATGCACCAATAATGTCAGAGCTGAGATCTAAATCAAAGAGGCAATCCCATTCACAATAGACACACACACACACACACACACACACACACACACACACTTAGGAATACAGCAATACAGCTACCCAGGACAATGAAATATCTCTACATTGAGAATTACAAAACATTGCTGAAAGAAATCAGAGATAACATAGATGGTTAAACAGTCTATGCTCATGAGAAGGAAGAATCAATACTGATAAAATGGCTATACTGCCCAAAGCCATTTACAGATTCAATACCATTCCTATCAAACTACCAAGGACATTCATCACAGAATTAGAAAAAAACTATTCTAAAGTTCATATGGCACCAAATAAGAGCCCAGATAGCCAAAGCAATACTAAGCAAGAAAAACAAAGCCAGAGGAATCACACTACCTGACTTCAAACTATACCACAAGACTACAGTAACCAACACAGCATGGTACTTACTGGTACAAAAACAGACATAGACCAGTGGAACAGAAGAAAGAACCCAGGAATAAAGCCATACACTTACAGCCATCTGATCTTCAACAAAGTAAAAAAAACTAGCAATGAGGAACGGACTTCCTATTCAATAAATGATGCTGAGATAACTGGCTAGTCATAGGCAGAAAATTGAAATTCCTTTCACCATATGTAAAAGTCAACTCAAGATGGACTATAGACTTAAATGCAAAACCTAAAACCATAAAAACTCTAGGAGATAACCTAGGAAATACCACTCTGGACATAGGTCCCAGCAAAGATTTCATGATGAAGATGCCAAAAGCAATTGCAACAAAAACAAAAATTCCCAAGTGGGACTTAATTAAATTAAAGAGCCTCTGCCAAGCAGACAACAAACAGACAACCCTCACCTCAGAAAGGAAGAACGTATCTGCAAACTATGCATCCATCAGAGGTCTAATATTCAGAATCTATAAGGAACTTAAATAAACAAGCAAAAAACAAACCCCATTAAAAAGTGGACAAAAGACATGAACAGACACTTCTCAAAAGAAGGCATGCATGTGACCAACAAACATAAGGAAAAACGATAAACGTCACTAATAATTAGAGAAATGCAAATCAAAACCACAATGAGATACCACCTTACACCAGTCAGAATGGCTATTAACAATTCAAAAATAACAGAGGCTGGCAAAATTGTGGAGAAAAGGGAATGTTTATACACTGCTAATAAGACTGTAAATTAGTTCTGCCAATGGGGAAAACGTTTTGAAGATTTCTCAAGGAGCTTAAAACCGAACTACCATTTGACATAGCCATTTCATCAGTAGGTATATACCCAAAGGAATATAAATCATTTTATTATTAAGACATATATATGTGTATGTTCATTGCAGCACTACTCACAATAGCAATGACATGGAATCAACCTAGATGCCCATCACTGGTAGACTAAATAAAGAAAATGTGCTAAATACACACCATGGAATACTATACAGCCATAAAAAGAATGAAACCGTGTCTTTTGCAGCAACATGGATGGAGCTGGAGGCCATTGTCCTAAAAGAATTAACACAGGAACAGAAAAACCAAATACAGCATGTTGTCACTTATAAGTGTAAGCTAAACATTGAGTACACATAGACATAAAGAAGAAAAAACAGACACAATGGCCTACTTGAAGGTGGAGGGTATGAGGAAGTTAAGTACTGAAAAACTACCTTTTGTGTACTATTCTCATTACCTGGGTGACGAAATAATCTGCACACCAAACCTCCACAACATGTAATTTACCCATGTAACGAACCTCCACCTGCCCCCGTAAACCTAAAATAAATGTTGGAAAGAAAAATAAAATAAAATGCAGATTTCTGTACAGTAGGGCTGGGATAAGGCCGGGGATAGCACATGTCTAACAACCTGGGGTGATGCCAGTGCTGTGGCCCACTCGACCTCACATTGTCTGATAGGCAGGTACTGTGAGGTATTTTCAACTTTTCTCTTGAATTAAATAAAAAGAAATATGAGAAGAAAACAAAACAGACAACAAGACACAATTCCTGCCTTTTGTCTTAGGATCCAGGAGGGGAGATATACAAAAGCAGTGGATTAGGGATAAGAAAATGATGTATGAAACATATGGAGTAATTCCAATATGTAAAACTCCTAACAGATAGTTTTTATACATAACTACAAATGTTGAGAGAATGAAGTGACAAACAATACTTGGCCATAGAGTGAGTGAAATAAGGGTGGAGATAAATTTACAGAGAATGTTTAGAAAGCAGTAACATTTTATAAGGCAGATGTCCTGTGTCAAGGCAATTTGTTACCCATAGCTCTCTTCAGCCATGCTTGAATTTAGGGATATTCATTCTATGAAGATGCTATGGTTGTCAAAACCTAAAATATATGATATTGGGACTTTAAAAGGAATAGATTATTATTAAAATATAATGAAATTAAGAAGTCCTCATAAAGAAAGCTTTTAAAAAGGAATATATGGGCCTCAAAAACATAATGAAATTTAGTGATTTTAAAAATCCTATTCATCAACCTAAAAATTTATCATAGTTCATTTGATATAGCATTTAATGACTGCTCAGTGTTCATCTTATAACACGGCAAACCAATGATTCAAGCTTGTTCATTAATAGTCCTCAAGAGGGGAAGGGAGAAATTCAGAATGTTCAAGTAGATATAAAACTAGAGATTTAAAACAACACTAGAGCATTTAGACAGTTCCCAGTAGACATCTATCAGCTAGCTGGCCATCTTCTGCCATAAATCTCCTGATTAAAAAGAAAATAAATGTTTCCACTGAGACATCCAACCATTAGAAAATCTAAACTGCAGCTTCCTAGTTGGCCTTAAGGCTTCTGAATTCTTCATGACAAAATATGTAAGAAATATATTACAAGTGTTCTTTCTTTGAAATGTGTAGAATAATGTGGTTATTTCTTATCTAGGCTTCCATTTCAAAACAGGGGCATTTATTTGTAGAAAAATAATGAGGAATAATATATTATCTTGTAAAATTGTATCAGAGTCACTCTGACTAGTCTGGTTGACAATTAATGGGGGATAGAAAGTGAAATAAAGTCAAACAAAAGCACAGAACCCTAGACACAAAAGAACCCCCAGTAGCATAAAGGGGAGATGAAGAAGGGGCTTTTACAGGGTACTCTAGAGGTATACTAAACTTGCACAAATGTAAACAAAGTTTTATTTGTCTGCTCCCATATTTTAATGATTGATTTTTAACAACATCTTATCCATGGAATAAATGCACTCTTTTCTTAAACTAGTTAATAAAGTATTAATAGGTGAAATAGTCTTCTTCCACAGGGGAAAAAACAAAACAACTCATTAAAGCTTATATAAACATATTTAATAATTTGACTTGGAGCTTCGGTTTTTTTCCTGCAAACTTCCTGGTAAAGTTGTTAATCATAAGTTAAGTGCCTTAAAAGACAGGCAATTAGAGGAAAGAAGTAAATAATTACATAAAGAACTAAATATTCCAAATATTGAATACTCTCCAATTAATTAACAGTAAAGTAAAAGTTTCAAGTCCTCATGGACTTAAAATTCATATTCTTATTAGCAAAGAAAACTTGTCATATAATATTGCTAAAGATGATAATTTGTCAATCAATATAAAGCAACTAATATAATGGAGTGTATAATCCATTAATAGAAAACACAGATGTTAAAAAACAAGAAAATCTGCCATAAATATAGGAGAAAAGGAAAAATATAATGCGAGATATAACAGGTAAGCAGAGATTACCATTATGTGTACAAGCACATGAAAAGCCAACCTGTAAACAAAGCGACATTTCCCCTATCATTCTGCAAAACTTCTAATTAATTTAATTAATAATTGTGCATATTAAAGGACTATAAATCAAAATTAAATACTATTTGTAACAAAATTATATTTTAGCAAAGATGGGATAAACGGGTCCTTTCTTTCTTTGCAGATAGAAACATAAATTGGTAAAAACATTTTTGGAAAGAAATAGCGTTTATTAAAAATAAGATTTTTGACCCATTTTCTTAAAAATTATCATATACTTTGAACTAGTAATTTCTCCACTGAACACTGTTTTAAATACCCCATATTGAGAAAAGACTTTAAGTTAAGAGATATTATGACACTATTTTTAAAAATTGCAATGTCTACTTATGAATGCACTATGATTGCAACTGTTTTTTAACTTATTCATATACAAGCATTGGAAAAACGTGTAAATGTGGGAATTTTCATTGTGCTTCTCTAATGCGTTTTGTGATTTTATATAGTAACTAGAAATAGTATTTATTATCTGAATAATGAGGAAGATATATGTTTTATTTTAAAGTAATAAGAAAATCACCAATAATAGTGATACGGACTAAATTTCTGACTCATCTGATATTTGTGCCGATGTGTACGTGAGTACATGGCACGCATACAGTCATGAAAACCGTGCAAATATAGACCAACAGACCCAAAGGACTGTCAAGGGTTATTCACAAAACAGAATAAATGAGAAAGAAAAGGAAGACAGAATTCCCCATTAAAACGAAGCCTGATTTAAGTAATCTGTTTCCAAAATTCTAACTTTTACTAGTCTCTAGTATTACAGTCTCTGGAAAGATAAGAATTTGCCTCAAATGTGAAATTATTTTAAAACTCCACATTCTTTTGAAGAAAATGGCTAACTTTTCAAACCTGGACTCTTAACCAAAATTCAGGAACTATCTCTTTCTAGTTGTATATGTGGCTTTTGTTTAAACAAATACAACCTTAAATCCATCAGGACCATATTTAAAAGTGATTATTTAAAGTGGAAAAGACTACTCACTTTTAACTATTCCCACCATTGCAGCCTGTATTTCCCTCAAATCCAATTAAATCTTCAGAAAAGAAAAAAACACCAATAAATTGTATATTCATCTCATGTAAATAAATTTTAATATATTGAAAACATATACTTGGACCCTAGAACATTATTCTTTTTTATATTATTTAAATTAAAATCACATGCAACTTGAGGTATCTGAGATGCGTAGTGATTTCTGCTTTAGAAAAGCGTTGTCTCCTATTAATAGTGTACCACAATTTGAAAAAAATCATGATTGACAGGCAAGAGAAAGAAATAAAGGGTATTAGAATGGGAAGAGGGGAAGTCAAACTATCTTTGTTTGCAGGTAACATGATCCTAAATCTAGAAAACTCCATCATCTCAGCCCAAAAGCTTCTTAATCTGATAAGCAACTTCAGCAAAGTTTCAGGATACAAAATCAATGTGCAAAAATCGCTAGCATTCCTATACACCAACAACAGGCATACAACCAAATCACAAATGAACTTCCATTCACAACTGCCACAAAAAGAATAAAATACTTAGAAATACAACTGACAAGGGAAATAAAGGACCTCTTCAAGGGGAACTACAAAGCACTGCTAAAAGAAATCAGAGATGACACAAAACAAATGGAAAAACATTCCATGCTCACGGATAGGAAGAATCAATATCGTGAAAATGGTCATCCTGCCTAAAGCAATTTACAGATTCAATGCTATTTTCATTAAACTACCATTGACATTCCTCACAGAATCAGAAAAAAGAATTTTAAAATTCATATGGAACCAAAAAAGAGCTCAAATAGCCAAGACAATCCTAAGCAAAAAAAAAAAAAAAAGCTCGAGGCTTCATGCTACCTGATGCCAAACTATACTATACAGCTAAAGTAACCAAAACAGCATGGTACAGGTACAAGAACAGACACATAGACCAATGGAACAGAATGCAGAACCCAGAAATAAGACTGCGCACCTACAACTATCTGATCTTTGACAAACCTGAAAAAAACAAGCAATGGGGAAAGCATTCCCTATTTAATAAATAGTGCTGGGACAACTGGCTAGCCATATGCAGAAAATTGAAACTGGACCCCTTCCTTATACCATATACAAAAATCAACTCAAGATGGATTAAATATGTGAATACATACCCAAAACTATAAAACCCCTAGGAGAAAACATAGGCAATACCATTCAGGACATAGGCACAGGCCAAGATGTCATGACAAAGATGCCAAAGCAATTGCAACGAAAGCAAAAATTGACAAATGGAATCTAATTAAATTAAAGAGCTTCTGCACAGCAAAGAAATTATCAACAAAATAAACAGATAACCTACAGAATGGGACAAAATTTTTGTAATCTATCCATCTGACAAAGGCCTAATACCTAACATCTATAAGGAACTTAAGCAAATTTACAAGCCAAAAACAATGGCATCAAAAAGTGCACAAAGGACATGAGCAGACACTTTTCAAAAGAAAACATACATGTGGCCAACAAACATGAAAAAAAGCTCAACGTCACGGATCATTAGAGAAATGCAAATCAAAAACACAGTGAGATATCATCTCACACCAATAAGAATGGCTATTATTAAAAAGTAAAAAAACAACAGATGCTGACGAGGTCGTGGAGAAAAAGGGACGCTTATATACTGTTGGTGAGAGTATAAATTAGTTCAACCATTGTGGAAGGCAGTATGGCAATTCCTCAAAGACCTAGAGGCAGAAATGCCATTTGATCCAGCAATCTCATTACTGGGTATATACCCAAAGGAATATAAACTGTTCTTTTATAAAGATACATAAAGGCACATGTTCATTGCAGAACTATTCACAATAGCAACGACATGGAATCAATCTAAATGTCTATCAACAATAGACTGGATAAAGAAAATGTGGTATATATACACCATGGAATATTATGCAGCCATAAAAAGGAATGAGATCATGTCCTGTGCAGGAACATGGATGGAGCTGGAAGCCACTATCCTCAGCAAACTAATGCAGAACAGAAAACCAAATATCACATGTTCTCATTTATAAGTGGAAGCTGAAGGATGAGAACACATAGACACATGGGGGCAAACAAGATACACCAGGGACTATCTGAGGGTGGGGGTGGGAAGAGGGAGTGCATCAGGAAGAATAGCTAATGGATGCTCGGCTTAATACAAAGGTGATGGGATGATCTGTGCAGCAAACCACAATGGAACACATTTACCTATGTAACAATCCTGTACATCCTGCACATGTACCCCTGAATTTAAAAATAAAAGTTGGAAATTTTAAAAAATCATGATTGACATGCTGCTATAAAGACACATGCACATGTATGTTTATTGTGGCACTATTCACAATAGCAAAGACTTGGAACCAACCCAAATGTCCATCAATGATAGGCTGGATTAAGAAAATGTGGCACATATACACCATGGAATACTATGCAGCCATAAAAAATGATGAGTTCATGTCCTTCGTAGGGACATGGATGAAGCTGGAAACCATCATTCTCAGCAAACTATCACAAGGACAAAAAAACAAACACCGCATGTTCTCACTCATAGGTAGGAATTGAACAATGAGAACACTTGGACACAGGAAGGGGAATATCACACATGGGGGCCTGTTGTGGGGTCGGGGGAGGGGGAAGGGATAGCATTAGGAGATATACCTAATGTAAATGACAAGTTAATGGGTGCAGCACACCAACATGGCACATGTATACATATGTAACAAACCTGCATGTTGTGCACATGTACCCTAGAACTTAAAGTATAATAAAAAAAAATAAAAACAACCATGATTGAGATTTAACAAAAAAAATCAGATTCCAAAATCAAATCAACATGAAGAAAATACTCTCCCTGTTAAAAGTAAGCAAGGTAGAGTATGATTTTATTCAAAAGCCAAAAAAGTACATAACTAATAAAGTAGTAGTATATAACGAATGTAATTGGTTCTATTATAATTTGCTATTAATCCAGCAGAACAGCAATCAACATTTTATTTTCCTTTTCACTTCACATTTCTGGCAAAGATATGTACAAAAGCAGCAACCTGAATTAATAAAGCTATTAACTAATACATACATTTTATTCTGTTTTTAAATGTCTAATCTAAAAATGCTATTTCAGGCCAGGCACAGTGGCTCATGCCTGTAATTCCAGCACTTTGGGAGGCCGACGTGGGAGGATCACCTGAGGTCAGGAGTTTGAGACCAGCCTGGTGAACATAGTGAAACCCAGTCTCTATCAAAAATACAAAAATTAGCCAAGCACTGTGGCAGGCGCCTGTAATCCCAGCTACTCAGGAGGCTGAGGCAGGAGAATTGCTTGAACCCGGGAGGCGGAGGTTGCAGTGAGCCCAGATCACACCGCTGCACTCCAGCCTGGGTGACAGAGGGAGACTCTGTTTCAAAAAATAAAAAATTTAAAAATTAAAATAAAAAATAAAAATAAAAATGCTACTTCAAATGACCTTATTACTTTAATATAATTATTAAATAATATATCTCTGAGTTTCTAAAATATTCATTTCCATTTATCACTTCATGCCAGTCATTGCTAATTAAAGCAATTTCTGAAAACAATTTTTCTTTCCATATTATCCACCAGAAGTTAGCTGTGCGAAACATGATAGTGGACTGGGGGAAGGTGGAGAGTAAGGGTTGGGGGAAGGATTATCACCTACCTAAGTTTGCCTCAACTATAAAGTTTCCTTTCTTAAAATTAGTCTCTATAATTGGTTTGATAGCAGGGAGAAGCAATTAGTTACTAACAGACAGCTTTTCTAATTATAGTTTATTTTTGAGACAAGGATAAAATTCTAAAAGGAAACAGTCCATACATTTTCTGTAAAGATTATATATTTTCATAGCTTAAATGGGAAAGGTATAAAGCTTCAAGATCAAAAGATCTGTTTAGTCCAAGGAAAATCTTCCACTGTTTATGTGGCTGAATGATTATAATATTTTCTTTTGATTTTGAAAAGCATAGTAAATACATTCTAACAACTGACTGACATCAGAAGAAATCAGTAGGTGTACTCCAGTTCAAAGTATCTTATCTATTAATTTCTGTGAAATGAAACTGTGTTCAAACTGAGAAGAAAATATTGGTATGACTCCCCTTCCTGCAAAAAACCATAATCAGTACAAAAATTCTCTGATTTCCCACATCCATTCAGCTCTACTCCAGCAGAATAGCAATCAACATTTTATTTTCCTTTTTGCTTCACATTTCTGGGAAAGATATGTACAAAGACAGCAATCTAAATTAATAAAACCCACTAACCGATACATGGATTTTTTTCTATATGTCATTTTAATTCCTGGTTATTCCACTCCTCATATTTTTAAAATTATAGATGTATTTTAACGTATTTAAATTATGTTTATCCTTATTATATTTCTAATATCCTTTTTTTATTCATCTTATTTGCCATCCATAGTCTTTTTTCAATTATAAAAACCATCTGACCTGGATTTTATATTTCAGTTTTTAATTGGCTCTGCAGGATATATTTGTTAGTTGTTTGTCCATGTGTCAATTGTTTCTGCCATCTTTTCCAAATTTACTGTATTTTCTTCCTCTACTATGGAGAAAACACTGTATCTCTCGGCCATTCCAATATTTCCTCATAATTTCTACTTGCATTCTATCTCCCTTACTCTTACATAAACTCTTAAGCATTCTTTTTTATTATTATTATAACTTCTGTGTTAGGTTCAGGGGTGCATGTGCAGTTTTGTTATACAGGTAAATTGCTTGTCACAGGGGACTGGTGTACAGATTATTTCATCACCCAAGAATAAACATAGTACCCAATGGGTATTTTTCTGATCCTCTCCCTCCTCCAAGACTCCACCCTCAAGCAGGCCTTGGTGCCTGTTGTTCCCCTCTTTGTGTCCATGTGTTCTTGTTTAGCTCCCACTTACAAATGAGAGAATGCAGTATTTGGTTTCCTGTTCCTGTGTTATTTTACTTACTATAGTAGTATCCAGCTCCATCCATGTTATTGCTAAGGATATGATCTTTTTTGTGTCCGTATAGTATTTCATGGTGTATATGTTCCATATTTTATTTATTCAGTCTACCATTGATGGGAATTTAGGTTGATTTCATGTCTGCTATTGTGAATGGTGCTGCAATGAATATACACGTCCATGTGTCTTTATGGTAGAGTGATTTATATTCTTTTGGATATATACTCAAACATGGGATTGCTGGGTTGAATGCTAATTCTGTTTCAAGTTCTTTAAGAAATCATTACACTGTTTTCCACAATGGCTGAACTAATTTACATGCTCATCAGCAATGTATAAGCGTTCCCTTTTCTCCACAACCTTCCAGCATCTGCTATTTTTTGACTTTTTAATAATAGCCATTCTGACTGCTGTAAGATGGTATCTCATGGTGGTTTTGATCTGCATTTCTCAAATGATCAGTGATGTTGAGCATGTTTTCACATGCTTGTTGGTCACATACATGTCTTCTTTTGAAAACTGTCAGTTCATGTCGTTTGCCCACTTTTTAATGGGTTGTTTTTTTGTTCATACACTTAAGTTCCTCAAAGATTCTGGATATTTGACCTTTGTTCGATGCATAGCTTGCAAATATTTTCTCATATTCTGTAGATTGTCTGTTTGTTCTGTTGATAGTTTCCTTTGGTTTGCAGAAGTTCTTTAGTTTAATTAGGTCCCATTTGTCAATTTTTATTTTTGTTGCAGTGGTTTTGGGATCTTTGTTATAAAATCTTTGCCAGTTTCTAGGTCCAGCACGGTATTTCCTAGGTTGTCTTCCAGGGTTTTTACAGTTTTGGGTCTTATATTAAAGTCTTTCATCCATCTTGAGTTGATATTTTTATGTAGTATAAAGAAAGGGCCCAGTTTTAATCTTCTGAATATAGCTAGCCAGTTATCCCAGCACCATTTATTGAATACAGAGTCCTTTCCCCATTGCTTGTTTTTGTTAGCTTTGTGGAAGATCAGATGGTTGTAGGTGAGGTGCCTTATTTCTGGGTTGTCTATTCTGTTCCATTGGTCTATGTGTTGGTCTTTGTACCAGTACCATCCTGTTTTGATTACTGTAGCCTCTGAATGCATATTCTAAGTTATTTTTTCAAGACAATCCAAACTATAATCGTAATTGATGACACCTAAGTCATGTGCACCTACTGAGAATCCGAAGAGGCCTACTAATAGCAAAAACATCAGAATATGAATGTCTGTATCAAAGAACCAGGAATATAGAAGGTATTATTTTTTCTAAAAATTCATATATAAATATATATAATTATATTTAGCTATATATAATATATATAACTGTTATATATTATAATATATATAATATAACTGTATTATATATAATGGGGTATTAGACAATGTTGATTCAAGTCCAACCCCTATACACATTCAGTTTGAAGATACTGAAGAGGTTAATTTGCCCAGTTAACTCCAGTTGTTCCCGTGTTTATAACATAGCAATAAGAATTATATCTACTTATAGAATTCTGGTAAAGATTATATATGAAATGACAATCAGAGGAACTGGCACAATGTAATTAATCAGTACATGTTAGCCATTGCTATTATTGTAATCAATATTAGGATGAGCAAAATAATTTGTTAACACAACTTGGAAAAAGAAAATCCTTTAAGATTCATTCAAATATTAAGCTATTTATTTTATTTATTTCCCAAATAATTTTTGAGTACATAATATGCTCCCAACCCTAGCCCACATTAGGTGCTTGAGACACCTTGCCTCACGGTTTATAATCTAGAAGTTCTAAATAAAATCAAAGGCCTGCTCAAGATTAAAGTTTCTGGGGTCTGCATCATTGTTAAGAACATTAATTTTATTATTTTCATTTTGTTGTTTATATATATCAATATCACATATATTTTAATTATTTATAACAGAAAAAATAGTGGTATTCACAAATCTGCTGGTATATTTTAATAATTTTTGAATTTCATATGGGATATACAAGCAGAGCTGCCTAGAAGACAGGTGAGTATAGGGACTGAATATCAGAAGAGGTAAAGATGAGGGAGTCAGCAAGTCAATGGAAATTGAAGACATGGAAGTTGATAAAATTTGTTCAGTGAGAATCTAAGTATGATAGAAAATGAGGGTGCCATAAAGAATCTTGTAGAATATGTATTTTAAGAAAGATAAGCACACAAATGAGATTGGGCAATGCTATCAAGGGAGGAGAAAGACAGAAGTACAATAATATAGATTTCATCAAAAAATAATATTCTGAAATAGAATGAATGATCAATAGTACAAAATTGTGCTAAGGGAGCAAAGAAGTATATTCTATATGCAATATAAGTCACACAACTAACTTTGGTGAGCTTGAAGCAGCTTCAGACAACCAGACAAGGAAAGCCTCAGTGTGTTGAGGTGTGAATGAATGTGACACAAAATATTGAAAAATCTTGGAGACATTTAGCTATGAGTAGAGGTAATAGTTACAGTGTAGCTAATAATGGACTTGAAATAAGGTGAAGATTTATGCACAAATGCATTTTTGGTTTTAAGGGGAAAGATATTTTTACATGTTTAATGCCAAGAGGAAGGAATCAGGAGAAAGGGACAAGGTTGAACATGCAAAATGAAAATATTCATTTGAACTATCACCCTTAGAACATGCACAGATAGCTGTAGGATCCAGAGCACTGATGAAAGAATTGGTTTATAGAGGAAGAGGCATCAATAGAAGGGGAGAATAAAAGGATTTAGGGACACTGGTAAGTTAGTAGGAATCTCAAAATTTCCTGTCTCACAGATGCTATTTTCTCTGCACATGATCTGTTAAGAAGGAAGGGAGAAGAGTGGTGGTGGGTTAGAGCATAGGGGAGTAGCAAAGGTTGGCTATGAAAATGAAACTGTGGGAAATGGAAGATACCGCTCTAGAAAACCACATTAAGAGTTGCTTTGCAGAGTCAAGGGCTTACTTGACTTTGTCATCCCAAATTCTCACCCTGTTTGATTGGTGTATGTTATCTCTACCGAAGTTCACCCAGAGAGAATTAGGAGCATCTCCCTTTCCATTTCTTTTACCTTCCAAGGATTTCAGTTCAAGTGGTAGAAAGATATTTTTACTTTGTATTCCCAATTTTTCAAACACAGTATTTCAATTTAAAAATCAGATTAATTATTTTAAACTTGGCTGAATCAAACATAATCCTGAATTAATAAAATCTCAATGAACTCCTAGTTAACATGTTTTGAGTATGCTAAAAATGCTTTTGAACATCCTTCTCTCCAAAAAAGTAATGATGATACATCTTGCCAAACCTCTGCACTCACACATGTGTACATGCAGGAGAAAACAGAGAGAAGGAAGTAGAAATCCAAGTAATTTTGCTGTAAGCTAGCTGCATTTTACTAGAAAAAAAAAAAAACTGTGGTCATGATTAACAGATAACTGCCTAATTGACATTCTGCCTCTTTTTTCTCTCTCTCTCTGCTTCTATCCTCCCTCTCTATCAGTTGAACCCTTGTTTCCAAGATACCTTTTAGTTTGACTCCAAGGCTGCTCAATTGGGTGTCTCTCATACTGACTAAGGTTGCCTGGCAACATGACTGATAGAATACTCACCAGCCTGTGTGGTAGCTCTATTTTTTGGCTTACAGGTGGGAGATTTGGATAGAATTTTAAGAGATTTTTCACACTGCAATTCTGTTTCATTTCAGTGGATGTGCAATTAAGTTTATTACTTATAACATCATTGTTATAGTTTATTGCACTTTTCAGCATTATTTAGACGTTTTTGGTTTTATCATAATTGTTAATACTTCTAGAAAAATTTTTAAGTTTGAATTACCCCTCAAAATAATGCATACCTTTTTCAAATTATATTATCATAAAGTCAAAATAAAAAATAATAAAAACCAGAAGGTTATTGATGGGGAAGAGATGTAAAGGGAAGTTATTGGGGGTTAGAAATATTCTGTGTGTTCCTGATTCTATATTACCGCTATAGGTAGCAGTAATGCAGGCATATAACTACGTAAAAACCCATCAATCCATATATTTAATATTAGTGTACTTTACACATCTTAATACACATATGGTATATTCAAGATATTTTAAAGATGATGGCAATATGAATAAATACATACACACAGACACAAACAGAGACAAGGATATTTCTTTTGGCAAAAGAATCTGTGTTAGGCAAAAAAAAAATGCACAGAATTACGGTGTTTTAAAGCTGTTAAATAGGTGGTAGAGGTCATCTCATCAACTAAGTGACTTGTCAGCTGAATAAACTGAGGCCCAGAGGTGTATAATTTCTTTCGTCAGTTTCATAACTTACCAATGGCAAAGGTTAAAGAGAAACCTTTAAATTCTTATCTATTTCTTGGTTTGACATTACATAAAGTGCTGCTATCATAGACCTTAACTTTGAGCAATCTTTCAGTTTAATTCAAAGTATAGAAATTATACATCAAAGAACAGAAATTGAGACTCAATCCCATCTAAAAGGTAAAGCTCTACTCAAGAGAAACAAGGTTAGTTGCCTTTGTACTCTATCAATCTGTATTAGTCATTTATAGACACCGTCCTCTCTTAAACTGAATTTATGCTAATATAAGATAGGTAAACTAAATATACCATTTCTTGACTATTTCCTATGCAATGAACCCTTTGAATATATTATCATATTCTATCCACACCGAAACATTTAAACACAGTTATATCATGCCCTTTTACAGCTGAGGAGGTATAACCAAATAAAAACCTTGCTCAAGGTATCACAGCTAGTATTTGCTGAACTGAGATCAGAATAGTTCTGTATGATGTTAGAACCTGTGCATTTTAACTCACTCCATCCTGCCTCAAAAATCGGATTACCTAGGCTGGGCACAGTGACTTGTACCTGTAATCCCAGCAGTTTGGGAGGCTGAGGCAGGAGGATCGTTTGAAGCCAGGAGTTCGAGACCAGCCTGGGCAACATAGTGAGACCTCATTGCTACTAAAAATTTAAAAATTAGCCAGGCACAACGCCACACACCAATCATCCCGGATACTCAGGAGGCCGAGGAAGGGAATTGCTTGAGTACAAGAGGTCAAGGCTGCAGTGAGCTATGATTGTGCCACTGCACTCCAGCTTGGGTGACAGAGCAAGACCTTATAAAAAAAAAAAAAGAAAAAGAAAAAAGGAAGGAAGGAAGGAAGGAAGGAACGAAGGAAGGAAGGGAGGAAGGAAGGACAGAAGGAAGGAAGGAAAAAGAAAAGAAAAGATCAGATCACCTCAATGTAATTCCTATCCTCTCCTTGTGACTATGACCACTAAGAGCTTACTAAATATCTATCTTTCCCTTCATCCTTACTAGGTAACCAACAAAACAGTTGTGTGTGCAGCTACAACACTACGTGCAACAGTCTCCTTTACAACTAAGAGTAATGATGGGTAGGTAGAAAATATAAGAAAGAGTTTCCAGGTAATCTCTTTGATGAGGGGTAAATCACCTGGCTGCATGCCTCATTTGTCATTGCATTTTTTTTTCATTCTTGCTGCATAGAACACAAATGTGATGGCTAGGCTGCAGAAGTCATCTCAAACTACTGGAAAACTCTTGTGGATGAAGTTATGTAGCTAAGACTGTGGAAAAGAACTACAAAAGGAGACTAGATTCCTAATGATCTAGGAGCTATAATTTCAGCCCATGATGATAATGATCAGGCTTCCTCTATGCAGAGGGCAGGGGTCACCAGGCAAAGAGATGAACAAAATTTCAGAGGGTAACAGCCACTCTGAGGAGTGACAGGACATATGAACTATTTCACTTTTAACAGAATAAGAGAGAATGAGGTAGTCACCATGAAAGTAGGTAAGAAGAAAACAGCTAAAAGTGTAACAAATACTTAAGGATCAGAATTGGCCAACAGAACAGTGTAGACACCCAGGAATCCCCTATATACAAATAAACATGTGTTCATTCATAAACTTCTTTATGAGGAAAGATTCAGTCCAGAGTAGAGACCAGTGAGAACTCTTTGGAGGTATAAAGTCACAAAATCCTTACCAATTCCCCAAAATTTTCTCTAATACAAAGCAAAATTTAGCCTTTTAGGGTGAAAAAAATCCTCATATTCCCAACACCCTGGAAAAGAGCTATAGTTTCTCAGGAAGGGGTAGAATGATCCATCAAACCTTGCTGAATGGGCAGGTAACTTTCTTGTGCCCAGAATCTTAAGCTAACATAAAACAGAGGTCTGCTAACACTGGGGGAAGAGCAGGACACCTCTCCCACTCATGAATCCCACAGACTCCAGGAGGAGCTTGGGCCCCATGGGAGGAATGGGTAGGTATTGTGTAAGAGCCATACATCTAAGGCACAGGTGCACAGGCCATGTCTAAGATAAAGACTGGAGAACAGGATCCAGGCACCCTCCTGTCCCCCACCAGGAGTAGTATATTAGTATGCAACAGCAATTTACCACTGGAGGATTGTCCAGAATGTAATAAGAGGTTTCCTCCCCTATGCAAACATGCAAGGAAGACGGAAAGGGTTGGAAAAAAAACACTGAAAAAACTATCATGTGCCCCAGGTACCATACTAAGCAAAGAAGCCTGTCGGGGGTTGGGGGGTGGAATAATATCAATATAAATCATCGGATAAGAAAGTAAAAGAGATAATTTGATAATCTCAATAGGTTTGAGATAATTTGAAAATCTCAATACAGGCAGAAGCATTTGATAAAAATTAAAAACCTAACTATAATTAAGAATCCTAACAAAATCAGAATAAAACTAGATTCTCTCAATCAAATATATGCTATTTTCTCAAAATAATACAGCAAACATCTTTTTTTTTTTTTTTTTTGAGACGGAGACTCGCACTTTTGCCCAGGCTGGAGTGCAATGGCGTGATCTCAGCTCACTGTAACTTTGCCTCCTGGGCTCATATGATTCTCCTGCTTCAGCCTCCCAGGTAGCTGGGACTACAGGCACACACCACCACACTCGACTAGTTTTTTGTATTTTTAGTAGAGACGGGGTTTCACTGTGTTGGCCAGACTGGTCTCGAACTCCTGACCTCAAGGACATCATTCTTAACAGTAAAATGATGGACAGTGTTCTCTTTGATTTGTGAACAAGAGCAGAATGTTCATTCTTCCTGTGTTCATTCAGCATTGTTCTGGACATTCTAGCCAAGTCAATAAGACACAGAAAATACAATAAAGCTATAAGATTTTGAAAGTGTTAAGTAATACTATCTTTCTTCACAGACAACATGGATGTTTACATAGAAAATTCAAAATAATGCACTGAAAAACACACTAGAATTAATGAGTTTACAATCTACTATATGCAAGGGCGATATTTAAACATGTATTTTTATACAAGGAACAAAGAGAAAATAATTTTTTAAGATATATCTTGCCTACCCCAAGATGGCCAACTAGACACAGCTAGGAGGAACATCTCCCTCCAAGGGACCAGAACATCAGAAAGACTGGAGTCCTCTGAGCATATCTTCAGAGGCAAGGCATTGAGAACAGATGGAGGGAAGACACAGATGCTGGACTGAAGGGAGAGGGGACTGGGCACCCTGCATGGGACTGCCGTTCACCAGGACTTATTCCTGGCCCCGAAGAACTCCTGCAGAAAGTAGGAGTTGAACACACAAGGAGCAAGCTGCTCTCATCACAGCCCTCTGGAATCCCAGCAGTAGGAAACCCCTCTACCACCATGGACCCTTCAGTTGGCAGAAAGAGTAACTTAGAAAAGTGTTAGAGCCAGAACTCCAGCCAATGCAGAGCCCAGAGGATTTGGTGTTGGAGTGTCTGTAGCGGAGCATGGTCAGGGCTGCCCATTCCCCTGGGCTCAACTTGCTTCCATAGGAGACTTTAGCCTTAGGGGAACTGTCCAACCTGAACTCTGAAGGGCTGTTTTGCCCATGAGACAGGACATGTGTGCACAGACAAACCTTCCCTTCCTTTCCCTGCCACCATATGTGTGTGCACGCACCCTGCTATACCACTGCTGTTGACATGGATGCATGCTGCCCCCCACCCCACCTGTCACATTGCCATTGTCCTCAGAGCATTGGCAGGCATGAAAGCCGCCTGCCCTGCTGCCAGCAGCACCCACCACTTGCACTGACACTGCTGCCAAAGTGAAACTAGGCAGGGAAAACAGACAGCTTGCCCACAACCTAGGCAGCCACCACCACCAGTGTGAACATGCATAGAGGGCATGCACAGTCCTGCGCCCACCAGCACCCCCACCACCATGCTAACACCAACACTGGCATAAACACATGCACAGTTGCCAGTGGAGGACCCCTGTCTCCCTGAGTAATACTGCCATCACCACTGCTGCAAACACCTGCTGGCTACCCAGCACCCACTACCACCCTGCCACAGCTGACAAGTGTGCACTTGGCCATGCTGCTGCTGCCACTGTTGCTAGCACATGCAAATGAGGATAGATTCCACTGCCACTGCCCTACAAAGAGCTTTGGCTGGCACCATGCATACAAGTATTGTGACCAGCAGTTCAGGAACATTTCAGCCTATCCTGTGCAACAGGTTCCTAACCATGAGGGGCCAGAAAACAAAGCCAGTGCCCAATAAGAGTCACCCAGAATTAGAAAACACAGTCCGGGAGTCCTGAGCTAAGCCTTGACTCCCTAAAATCTTGCAGAAATGAATCCAATTGACTGAATACACCTTATACCACAATTAAACCCCCAAGGTCATTAAATAGGATAAAAGAAAAAAAAACATCTAAATGATAGGAACTTCAAATACTGAAGGAACAGCAGACCCACAAAGATGAGAAAGAACCAGCACAAGAACTCTGACAGCTCAAAAAAAGCAAGAGTGTCTTCTTTTCTCCAAATGACCACCCTAGTTCTCCAAGAAGAGTTGTTAACTGAGGTCAGATGGCTGAAATGACAGAAATAGAATTCAGAATAAGGATAAGAATGAAGATTTTCAAGATTCATGAAAACACTGAAACCCAATCTAAGGAAACTAAGAATCATAATAAAATGACACAGAATCTGATAGACAAAATAGCCAGTATAGAAAAGCATGAAGCTGACCTTATAGAGCTGAAAAAAACACTACAAGAATTTCATAACGCAATAGCAAGTAAAAGCAACAGATTAGACCAAGCTGAGTAAAGAATTTCAGAGCCTGAATACTGACTTTCTGAAATAATACAGTCAGACAAGAATAAAGAAAAAAGAATAAAAAGGAACAAACCAAACCTCAGAGAAATATGGGATTATATAAAGAGACCAAATCTATGACATTGACATCCCTGAAAGAGATAAGCAGAATGGAAGCAACTTGGGAAGCATGATTCAGGTTATCATCCATAAGAATTTCCCCTATCTAGCCAAGGAGGCCAACATTCAAATTCAGGAAATGCAGAGAACCCCCACAAAATACTTCACAGGAAGACCATCCCCAAGACACATAATCATCATATTCTCCAAGGCTGAAATAAAAAATGATAAAGGCACCAAGAGACAAAGGACAGGTCACCCACAAAAGGAAGCCCATCAGACTAACAGCCAACTTCTCAGAAACAGCACTACAAGCAAGAAGAGATTGGGGGTCTATATTCAACATTCTTACAAAAAGATAAATTCTGACCAAGAATTTCATATACAAACAAACTAAGCTTCATAAGCGAAGGAGAAATAAGATGCTTTTCAGACAGGCAAATGCTAAGGGAAATCATTACCACCAAACTCGCTTATAAGAGCTCCTGAAAAAAGCACTAAATATGGAAAGGAAAGACTGTTACCAGCCGCTACAGAAACACATTTAAGTACACAGACAAGTGGCACTATAAAGTAACTATAAAAACAAATCTGCATAAAAACTAGCTAAAAACACTGCGACAGGGTCAAATCCACACATATCAATGCTAACATTGAATATAAGAAGCTAAATGCTCCAAGTAAAAGACACAGAGTGGCAAGGTGAATAAAGAAGCAAGACTCAGTGGTATGCTGTCTTCAAGAGACCTATCACACATACAATGACACTCACAGGCTCAAAATTAAGGGATGGGGAAATGTCTACCAAGCAAATGGAAAACATAAAAACACTAGGGTTACAATCCTAATTTTAGGCAAAGCAGACTTTAAATCAACAAAGATCAAAAGAGGGCATTACATAATGGTAAAGGATTCAGGTTGACAAGACCTGACTATTCTAAACGTATATACACCCAACTGAGAAGCATCCAGATTCACAAAGGAAGTTCTTAGTGACCTTCAAGGAAATTTCGACTTCCATGCAATAATAGTGGGAGATTTCAACACTCCACTGACAGTACTGGACAGATCATCAAGGCGGAAAGTTAGCAAAGACATTTAGGACTTGAACTCAAAAGGACCAAATGGACCTGATAGATACCTATAGGACTCTCCATCCAAAAACAACAGAATATACATTATTCTCATTGCCACATGGCACATACACTAAAATCAACCACACAATAGGACATAAAACAATCAGCAAATGCAAAAGAACTGAAATCATAGCAACTACTCTCTCAGACAACAGCACACAAAAAAAGAGAATTCAAGAAAATCACTCAAAACCATACAATTACATGGAAATTAACCTGCTTCAGAATGATTTGGGGTAAATAATGAAATTAAGACAGAAATCAAGAAGGTCTTTGAAACTAATAAGAACAAAGCTACAACGTACTAGGATCTCTGGGACACAGATAAGGCGGTGTTAAGATGAAAATTTGAAGCACAAAATGCCCACATCAAAAACTTAGAAAGATCTCAAATTAACAACCCACCATCACAAATAAAAGAAGTAGAGAAGCAAGAAGAAATCAACTCCAAAGCTAGCAGAAGACCAGAAACAAACATAATCAATGCTGAACTGAAAGAGATTGACACATAAAAAAACCATTCAAAAGATCAATGAATCCAGGAGTTGGCATTTTGAGAAAATTAAAAAGATGGATAGAAACTAGCTAGGCTAATAAAGAGAAAAAGATAGAAGATAAACACAATCAGAAATGACAAAGGCAATAACCACTATCCCTACAGAAACACACATATATAACCATCAGAGACTACTACGAATACCTCTATTCACACAAACTCAAAAATCAACATGAAATGGATAGATACCTGAGCACATATACCCTCCCATGACTAAACCAGGAAGAAACTGAATCCATGAACAGACCAATAATGAATTCTGAAATTGAATCAGTAATAAATAGTCTACCAACCAAAAAAAAAAAAGCCTAGCCAGGGCCAGAAGGATTCACCGACAAAGTCTACCAGACATACAAAGAAGGGCTGGTACCATTCCTAGTGCAATTATTCCAAAAAAATGAGGAAGAGGGACTCCTCCCCAACTCATTCTATGAGGCCAGCATCATCCTGATACCAAAACCTTGCAGTGACACAACCAAAAGAGAAAACTTCAGGCCAAAATTCTTGATGAGGATAGATTAAAAAATCCTCAACAAAATACCAGCAAACCAAATCCAGCAGTGCCATCAAAAAGCTAATCCACCATGATCAAGTAGGCTTTATCCCTGGAATGCAAGGTTGATTCAACATATGCAAATCAATAAATGTAATTCATTACAAAAACAGAGGTAAAAGTCAAAACCACATGTTTATTGCAATAGAAGCTGAAAAGATGTTTGACAAAATTCAACATCCCTTCATGTTAAAAACTCTCAACAAGCTACATATTGAAGGAACATACCTCAAAATAGTAAGAGCCATCTATGACAAAACCACAGCAAACATCACATAAATGGGCAAAAGCATTACCCTTGAAAAGCCACACAAGACAAGGATGCCCCCTCTCACCACTCCTATTAAACATAGTATTGAAAGTCCTGGCCACAGAGATCCATCAAGAGAAAGAAATAAAGCATATACATACAGAAAGAAAGGGAGTCAAACTATTCCTGTTTGCAGATGATGTGTTTCTGTATCTAGAAAACCCCACAATCTCAGCTTGAAAGCTCCTTAAACTGATAAACCTCAGCAAAGTTTCAGGATAAAAAGTCAATGTACAAAAATTACTAGCAAAATCTGTACAAACTAGCAAAAAATGTACAAAAATCACATTAAAAATCCTATATGGCAATGACAGCCAAGCTGAGAACCAAGTCAGGAAAGCAATCCCATTCACAACTGTGACAAAATACCTAGGAATATAGTTAACCAGGGAGGTGAAAGATCTCTACAATGAGAATCACAAAACACTGCTCAAAGCAATCAGAGATGACACAAACAAATAGAAAAACACTCCATGTTCATGGATCTCATGGATAGGAGGAATCAATATCATTAAAATGGCCATACTGCCCAAAGCAATTTATAGATTCAATGCTATCCCTATCAAACTATAAATAACATTATTGGCAGAACTAGAAAAATATATTTTAAAATTCATATGGAACCAAAAAAGAGCCCAAATATCCAAGGCAAGATATCTCAGCAAAAAGAACAAAGTTGGACGCATTATGTTACCAACTTCAAACTATACTACAGAGCTACAATAAAAAAATGGCATGGTACTGGTACAAAGGCAGACATATAGGCCAATGGAATAGAATAGAGAGCCCAGAATTAAGGCTGCACACCTACAACCATCTGGTCTTCCACAAAGTCAACAAAAGAAAGCAATGAGGAATGGACTCCCTATTCAATGGGAGTGTGCTTGGATAACAGGCTAGCCATATGCAGAAGATTGAAACTGGACTCCTTCTTTATACCACATAGAAAAATCAACTCAAGATGGATTAAAGACTTAAATGTAAAACCCAAAACTATAAAAACTCTGGAAGACAACCTAGAAAATACCATTCTGGATGAAGAACCTGTTAAAGGTTTCACGACAAAAACACCAAAAGCAATTGCAACAAAAGCAAAAATTGACAAATGGGATCTAACTCAACTGAAGAGCTTCTGTGCAGAAAAAGAAACTATCAACAGAGTAAGCAGACAACCTATAGAATGGGAAATATATATGCAAACTATGCATCTGACAAAGCTCTAATATCCAGCATCTATAAGGAACTTAAATTACAATGAAAAAGTAAACAACCCCATTAAACAGTGGGCGGAGGACATGAACCAACACTTTTCATAAATGTGGCAAACAATCACATGAAAAAGCTCACTATCACTGATCATTAGAGAAATGGAAACCAAAACCACCATGAGATACCATCTTACACCAGTCAGAATGGCTATTATGAAAAAGTCAAATAACAGAACAGACAAGGTTGTGGCGAAAGGGAACACTTACACACTGCTTGCTGGTGGGAGTGTAAATTAGTTCAACTATTGTGGAAAGCAATGTCATGATTCCTCAAAGAGTTAAAAACAAAATTACCATTCAACCCAGCAATCCCATTACTGGGTATATACATAAAGGAATATAAATTATCCTACCATAAAGACACATGCACACATATGTTAATTGCAGCACTATTCACAATGACAAAGATATGGAATCAACCTAAATGCCCATCAATGGTAGAATGGATAAAGAAAATGTGGCACATATACACTATGGAAAACTATACAGCCACACACACAAAAAAATTAGATCATATCCTTTGCAGTAACATGGATGGAGCTGGAGGCCATCATCCTTAGCAAACCAAGGCAGGAACAGAAAACAAATACCACATGTTCTCATTTGTAAGTGGAGGCTAAGTGATCAGAACACATGGACACAAAGAAGGGAAAAACAGACAATGAACTCTACCTTAGGATAGAGGGTGGCAGGAGGTAGAGGAACAGAAAAAAATAACCATTAGGTACGAGGCTTAGTATTCCAGTGACAAAATAATCTGTACAACAAACCCCCATGACACAAGTTTACCTACATAACAAACCTGCTCATGTACCCCTAAACCTAAAATAAAAGTTAAAAAAGTGTATATAATATGTATGTATTATTATGTATGTAATTATATGTATATGATACATATGTATATAATTATATGTGTGTGTGTATATATATAATCTTAATATTAAACTGCATTAAACTTCTAGGCACAAATTAACCAAAATACATAAGACCTCTAAACAAAAAACCCTTCTGCACAGCAAAAGAAACTACCATCAGAGTGAAAAGGCAACCTACAAAATGGGAGAAAATTTTCGCAACCTACTCATCTGACAAAGGGCTAATATCCAGAATCTACAATGAACTCAAACAAATTTACAAGAAAAAAACAAACAACCCCATCAAAAACTGGGCAAAGGATATGAACAGACACTTCTCAAAAGAAGACATTTATGCAGCCAAAAAACACATGAAAAAACGCTCATCATCACTGGCCATCAGAGAAATGCAAATCAAAACCACAATGAGATACCATCTCACACCAGTTAGAATGGCGATCATTAAAAAGTCAGGAAACAACAGGTGCTGGAGAGGATGTGGAGAAATAGGAACACTTTTACACTGTTGGTGGGACTGTAAACTAGTTCAGCCATTGTGGAAGTCAGTGTGGCGATTCCTCAGGGATCTAGAACTAGAAATACCATTTGACCCAGCCATCCCATTACTGGGTATATACCCAAAGGATTATAAATCATGCTGCTATAAAGACACATGCACACGTATGTTTATTGCAGCACTATTCACAATAGCAAAGACTTGGAACCAACCCAAATGTCCAACAACGATAGACTGGATTAAGAAAATGTGGCACATATACACCATGGAATACTATGCAGCCATAAAAAATGATGAGTTCGTGTCCTTTGTAGGGACATGGATGAAACTGGAAACCATAATTCTCAGCAAACTATCACAAGGACAAAAAACCAAACACTGCATGTTCTCACTCATAGGTGGGAATTGAATAATGAGAACACATGGACACAGGAAGGGGAACATCACACTCTGGGGACTGTTGTGGAGTGGGGGGAGGGGGGAGGGATAGCATTAGGAGATATACCTAATGCTAAATGATGAGTTAATAGGTGCAGCACACCAACATGGCACATGTATACATATGTAACAAACCTGCACATTGTGCACATGTACCCTAAAACTTAAAGTATAATAATAATAAAATTTAAAAAAAAAGAAAAAAAGAAAAATTAGCTTGAACTCAACATTAAAAAAAAACAACCAGACATGGGATTAAGAGAAACTAAAAGATCAAAATAAATAAGTCCCCCCTTACTTATGGTTTTGCCTTCCATGGTTCCAGTTACTCATCGTCAACTGTGGTCCAAAAATATTAAATGGAAAATTCCAGAAATAAACAATTTATAATTTTAAATGGTGTGCTGTTCTGTGTAGCTTGATGAAATTTCCCATGGCTCTGCTCTATTCCTCCTAGGACTTTAATCATTCCTTTGTCCAGCATCCTCATGCTACATTCACAACCCACCCAATAGCCACTTAGTAGCCATATCGGTTATCAGATTGATTGCTAAAGTTATCACAGTGTTTGTATTCAAGTCACCGTTATATTACTTAATAATGGACCCAAATTACAAGACTGGTGATGTTGGCAATTTGAATATGCCAAAGAGAAGCCATAAAGTGTTTCCTTTAAGAAAATAATAAAGGGAAAAAGTTGTTTGCTCACGTTGCTAAGCTCTATGGTAAGAATGCTTCTTCTGTCCTTGAAATTGTGAAGAAAGAACAAGAGATTTATGTTAGTTTTGCTGTTGCACCTCAAACTATGAAAGTTATGACCAAAATCATTCACAAGACTTCATCTCATCATGTAGGCATTGTATTATCTCACATCATCACAAGAAGCAGGTTAAGTACAGTACAATAACATACTTTGAGAGACAAGGAGACTATATTCACATAACTTTTATTACAGTATATTGTTATAATTGTTCTATTTTATTATTAGTTGTTGTTAATTTCTTCCTGTGCCTAAGTTATAAATTAAACTTTATCAGAGGTATGTATATATAGAAAAAACCATAGTCTATATATAAGGTTTAGTACTATTTGCAGTTTCAGGCATCCACTGGGGATCTTGGAATGTGTCCCCAGTTAATAAGGAGGAAATGCTGTATATATTATGTTCATAAATGAAATCAGTTAATATTGTAATTACACCAGCTCTTTAAAAATTTACTTAACAATAGATTGAATGCAATTCTAACTAAAATCTAAACAATTATTCTTGTTAACTTGACAAAGTAATTCTAAAATTTACATGAAAGAAGGCAAAGTCAACATGCCTTTGAATAACATGTGGTAGAAGAACTTGTTTTAATAGATATTAAGAATATTTAAAAAGTAGCCATAGTTAAAATAGTGTTATAAGTGGTAAGAAGAGACTAATAATCCAATTAAATAGAAGTTGGCTCCTAAAAGACCCAGACATATATAGAAATTTAATTTATAGTAAATATGACATTAAAGAACAGTGGGCGAAGGAGAGAATTGTCCAGTATGATTCTATAACAACTGGATATCTAGAACTTGACTTCTACCTCACATCACTCACAAAAATGAAGGCAAGTGGAAAGATATAAACATAATGAGGTGATATAATGATTAAAATTAAAATTAGGAACATCAAAAAAACCTCATTAAGAAATTGAAAAACCAAATCATAGAAAAGGAGAACTTTGCAGCATATTTAACTGATGGGAGGCTCTTAATCTAGTGTAACTAACTTGTGAATATTAACAATTTTAAAAATCAACACAATAGAAAAATACACATATGAACAGGAAATTTATAGACAATAATATGTTCATGGCTATTAAGCTACATGACATAATCATATTAATCAACAAGAAAATGTAAACCAAACTCTCACCAGAATGGCTAAAATTAAAAGAAATGATTATACTAATCTTTGGTAAAGATGAAACAATGGAAACTCTTACACACTAATGAATGAAGTGAAATTAGTATAGTTACTTTGGAATACTGTCTGGTAGTATCTACTAAAGTTGAAAGATTGCATGCAATATGACTAAGAAATTCCATTGCTAAGTATATATTCAAGAGAAATATATGTACATATTTAGCAAAAACACATTTAAAAGAATGTTTATGGCAGCATTACATTTGGGTAATGGCCCAAACCTAGAAAGAGCACAAATGTCCATCAACAATACAATGAATAAATATTCTGTAGTATTTCTATACAATGGAATACTATATAGCAATGAAAATTAATGAACCACACAAAAACATTAAAGAAACTTAAAAACAAACATACATTCAGAAAAGGACACCATACACTGAAGAATGTGTGTCATATGAATATTATGTACATTAATTTAAAAATCAGGCTAAACCAATATTTTGCATATAAGGATACATTATTTAAAGTTAAAACTATAATGAAAAGCAAGGAAGTAATTCCCACAAATATCAGGAATAATGTCATCCACGGGAAACTGATGGAAAGGAGGTAATGGCTGGCAGGCAGAAAAAGTAGGATTGGAGATGCAGCAATTGTTCTATTTCTTGACCTGTGGGATGGTTACATGGGTCTTTGCTTGTGAAAATCATTGCTCTGTCTCCTTAATGCGTAAAAATTCAAAGCAAAAAGCTTAAAAGAGTAATAATTATGTAGGTGAAATTGAAAAATAGAAAACTGTTACCTGAGATAAATTTTAATAAACATAACTTTTATTTAAAATTCGCTGCTACCAAGAGCCATTTAGGTGATTTATCTCATTTAAGCTTTACAATATCCAGAAGACACAGTACTATTAATAACACATTTTGAAGGTACAGAGGCTGACGCACAGAGAGCATCAATAATTGACACAAAGTCACACAGCAAATGGGCCTTACTTGGAACATGAATCAATGAAGCAGAATGGTCCTGGAGACCATGGTCTTAAGCAGTATATTATTCTACTTCTCCAGTATATTAGGTTGATGCAAAAGTAATTGCAGTTTTTGCAAAGTAATGGCAAAAATGCAATTACTTTTACATTAACCTAATAGAAAAAGAGATACTCCATATGCTGAGTGTTACGTTTTTCCCTCGTCAAAATTAGTTTTGCATGATCGGTAAACTAACTTTAAAATGCGTTCTTTTACGGACCCAAGATACAAAATCTTTTTTTTTACCACTCTATCCTTGTTTCATTTTTAAGTTCTACTAAGGAAGGAAGACAAATCAGATTAAGATGACATGTTTACTATCGTAACTTATAATTGAATAATATAATAAATTACTGTTGCTATTGCCCAACAAGTGAATATATACAAGAGATTTATCACTAACCATAAGGTACATTTCTCCCTAAAGGTCAAGATTTTTCTGGCTATCCAAAAACCTATCTAAAGAAAGGGTAAACTCTGTAAACAAAATATGTTTCTCTGATTATTGGCAACATCATTTTCCAGCTCAGTAATCCTGGAAGCTTCAGTTATTTTTTTAGATAAATGATGGTACACTGGTAAACTGCAATGACTCTGGAGCTTGACTAAATGGCCCCAAATGTCAGGCATGGTATGTTTTACTTTTGTGACCTGGGACAATTTGCTTAAATGATGCCTCTCTCAGTTTCCTCTTGCACAAAATGGGGATGACATTAGTCATTAACATTTAAAACAACCCTGGTACTCAGTGAATCCTGCACAAGCATTAATTATTACTATTACTCCCTGAACCTGTTTACTTCCAAATAAATCTCACATGCTCCAACCCCTGCCAGTCCATCCCCACTGCTATGACCTTAGGTCTTGCCCTCATCCCTTCATTCTTATCCCTCTACAAATGCTTAAAAATTGATCTTTTTGCAACAAGTCTTCCAACTGCAATCCAGTTTGAAGATATCACCAGAATAACATTTAAAAATACCTTTTTCCTAGTTTGAGGAAAAATAGTTTCCTCAAACTAATGACAAAGTTTCCTTGAGAGTTCTTTTTGTCTTTCTCTCCCACTTACTCTAGTCCTTACTAACACAGTACCTCTCACATTTAGGAGCATGGACTATTAATTGAACCAAAGGAAATAAAATTACTAAACAAAATCACTAGCTTTGTCTTCCAGAGGTCAAATCTAGAAATGGAGACTTCATCTCTTATTCTCATCCCTCTGTAAATCCTTCAGTCTCAAAACCAAAAGTAGTGTGGGAGCATGAACGATTTAATCCATTCAATTTTAGAGCAATAATCTTTTAAATACTAGTAATTCTGAAAATGTCCCCAGATAAAATGTTGCTGATGATTTGTTTCAAGAAATAAAGTGTACAGGGGTTAGGACCAATGGATGGCTAACGTGAAAGAATTTGAAGATCACCAGAGTCCAAAAGGGAAAGCATCAATGTGGCCAGTGTGATGTAAAGGATAGTACTATGAACACTACACATCTGAAGATAATAAAGAGGGAAGAGAATGGTAAGTCAAGCTCAACCCTTCATTGCAATCTCTTCTTCACTGCAAAAAGCAACTAAAAAGGAGTGCAAGAAAAGGCTGTGGTCAGCCACTGCAAATGCTGAAAAGTATAATAGAAGAGTAAGGTATTATATCTGCCATTAGGGGAGGAGCTGTTATATATTTTTAAGTTTTCTCTAATCAAATAGCATTTTGTTCAAGGCAACTCATTTTGGGTTGCTGATTGGTTCTATTGACACTGAATATAAGGCAATTCTTATTTTTTTAAATTTGAAATTCAGTCACAAAATACTCATTTACTCTGATGGGTAGTGTTGGCCAGAACACTTCATCAGGGCAGAGGTATATTTCTCTACAACAACAATTTCTAGCCTGACAGCAAAACGAGAACACAATCCCACTCACAGTAACCCCCAAAAGAATAAAATACCTAGGAATACAGCTAACCAAGGAGGAGAAAGTTCTCAACAAAACACTGGTCAAAGAAATTAGACATGACACAAATAGAAAAACATCCCATGCTCATGGACAGGAAGAATCAAGATTGATAAAATGGTCATGACGTCCAAAGCAATTTACAGATTCAATACTATTCCTATCAAACTGCAAACGATATTGTTCATATAATTAGGAAAAACTATTTTATAATTCATAAACCAAAAAGAGCCAAAATAGCCAAGGCAATCTTAAGCATAAAGAAAAAACTAGAGGTATCACATTACCCGACTTCAAACTATACCACAGGGCTGTAGTAACCAAAACTGCAAGGCACTGATACAAAAAGAGACACACAGAACAATGGAACAGAATAAAGACCCCAGAAATAATGCTGCACACATACAACCTTCTTATCTTTAACAATGTTGACAATATCAAAGACTGTAAATAGAAATGGGTTCTTTCATGACTGTCTGCCAAATTAATCGAACATGACTGCAATTGAGTAGAAAAATAAAAATATTACTTACTGTATGTGGCACTTGGCAATTTCAAAATGATTTGCAAACATTCATCCTCAAAATGCTTCTACAAAAATGCATCTGTGGAGGAAGAAAAAATCCAAAAGAGTAAACAATTTGTCAAGATCACAGAAAAACTAATACAGACCAACACACACTTAAACACTATATACTTTAACGTGCTTAAATAGGTTTTACAAAATGTAGACCATATATCTACCAAAGTATAATGGGCTGATGAACAGAAGTATTCCCAACTATATGCAAATATTCCAAAACATCAGTCAAGGAGAACACTTTGAAGAAAGAGGTAAGAGAAGTCTGCATACTAGCTTCATATTATATGCAAGAAACACAGTGCCCCCCAGAATATTGGCAGAATGGCATAAAAGTAATTCAAAAATATGAGATGTTCATAAGTAAATATACGTGGAGAGTTGAGGTGATTATTCAAATATTTCAAGTTTTTAAAAGGTACTATTATCTGACATATGAGGATCACTGAGTTAGAAAAGAATTTGGCTTGATTTATCCAGAGAGTTGCACCAATTCACTTTGTAACTGCATTTAAATTCTAATTGAAATCCATGCACTGAGAAAAATGCAGGCACACGACCTGCATACCCCACAAAAATACACAAACAGTTCCATTCTCTGTGTTTCAGAATATCAATGTGATTATGAGGAGAAAGTGATTTAATCAAGCATTATTAATTAATTTGTTTTAGAGTAGGGTTTTGAAAGAGCATATTGATTTTGAATCTCAAAATATTTCAAATTAAATGGGTTTTACACTACGGAGTATATACGGTGTTATAAAAGAACTGTTCAAAGACATATAATAAAATACAACCTAATGAAAATATCAGTCTGGCCAACATGGCGAAACCCTGTCTTTACTAAAAATACAAAAATTAGCCAGGCATGGTAGTGAGTGCCTGTAGTCCCAGCTACTCGGGAGGCTGAGGCAGGACCATCACTTGAACCCAGGAGGCGGAGGTTGCAGTGAGATGAGATCGTGCCACTGCACTCCAGCCTGGGAGACAGAATGAGACTCCATCTCAAAAAAAAAAAAAAAAAATATATATATATATATATATGTATATATCTCCCTTCAAAAATACAGTGTGTTCTTTCAGACAGATCAGACAGACTATGAACAATATAAATAAAAATCCCCTTAAGTACCAAACATCTTTAAAGGAATATTAAGTTCTCAGCAACAAACAGAATTTCTGCTGAGAGATCTGGGTCTTGATGGTACTAAGCAGAAATAGCAGTTAAATAATACAGAGGTTGTGCTTTTGTGTTCACCAAAACCAACTGTAACCAAATCAACAGTTCAATATTCAGACCAAGCATTTTGAATATAAAATCTAATTTATCTTCCTCTAGTATGTTAAAGACATTGGGATTGCACAGGTCTCTACCTGGCCCATGAATAAATGATTTTGCTAATGTTTCACACAGAACCTCTCAAACAGAGAAAACTAAATATAGTTAGCAAGTTTATAGTTAAATGGAAAAAAATCAAGAAATGCCCAAGAAACTTTGTATTTTCTAAGTTTAAAACTTAAAACATAATAAAAGATATATATTCTTCTTCACATATAATTCAATACAATTATAAAGTTATAACAATTAGTAAATCTCTATATTTCTTCATACTTTAGCATATTCATCCTCATAGACAAGAAGACTGAGGTGAACACTAATTACATCACTTGCTCAATCTGACACAGCCAATAGGAGGCAAGCCTGGGCTCAAAACCAGCTTTTCTGACCTGGGTTTCATCTTACCGCAATATCTGCTAGTTTCTAGGTTGCATCCAGAGCAGAGATTGAAAACTGGGGGCATGAAAACCACATCTGGCTTACTGATACATTTCGTTTGTCCCACACCATGGTTTTTAAAATATTACATAATATTCAAAAGCAGAAGATTTCTCATAAAAAATCCTTATATGTAGGTTTTTTGAAAAAGTGAAGATTTTTATAAGGCTAGACTCAGGTATGGAACAGAAAAATGGTTGCCCCTCATCTACTTCCTACTTTTACAAACCATCTTTTACTCTGACAATTTTAAATACTGGAGTGTTTTCCACCAGATCCAAGCCCTCCTTTATTAAGAATTGCCATCATTTTTTTTTTTTTTTTTTTGCTGTGCAACTGGAGGAAGAATTTACCTTTATTATTCTCAAAAACTGTATTTTGTCAATTGAAATAACCACTTACAATACTACATTTCACTAGATTCCTATAATCACATGCTATTGATTGGTTATCTTATTTCAATCTATATATGTTTTAAAATTTTGTGGGTTTGAATATTTTTTATTTTTTAAATATATATTTGATAATTTTCATAGCTAAGGGAAAAATATTACAAACAATTGATTAGTACATCATCAAGTGAAAGAATGAGACCTCATATAATAATTTTACATTTACCATGGACATGCCTTTCAGAGAGCTATTTCCTGGATTGATAGGCATACTATGTAATAAAATAATTATGATACATTAAACACTTCAATTTAATTGGATAAACTGGATTAAGATAACACTAACAGCTAAAGGTAAAGCTATACAATCCATAAATTTTGGTTAAACAATGGCATATTGCAATTGTCTTCAAATATCAATATATTTTGCAGAATGCATAAAAATATGGACTGGCATTCTGAGGAACTCAGGTAGTAGGAGCCACCTAAATCTGAAACTGTTCACATATCCTAAAAAATATATACACCTAAAAAAACAAATTAAAACACACAAATCCAAGTCCTTCGGCACAATTGGAAGCTGGAGAATAATAAACATGTCAGATTGTATGTAAACAGAAAATTAGACACCAATTTCTAACAGAGCTATCTTTCAAGCTCCCACTATATACAGAGATATATGGGGTCCAGAAAAACTGTGAAAAAGGTAAAGGATACCAGAATTCCTAACAGTGACATGAAAATCACTCACAAAAAATCCACTCAACCTATGAAAATTCTGAAAAACTATTCTGGCATATTAGAACATGGACACAGAGAGAAGACTTAAAAATACATGACATTTGAGGTGGCATTTTTTTCTGGAAGAAAAGCAAGTAAGGCATTTATAAAATGATGGGAATATGTCAAAAGGACACAGGTCCTAGCTTCAAGAGGCTTTTACTGGTTTAATCTGGGACAACTGGGAAATAAATAATTATTGTAATGGATTAAACTGTATTAAGGAAAATATAATAAAGTATGAAATTAAGAAGGGAAAACTCCTTCTTCGAGTATAATGTCAACTAAAAAGTATAGATGGACTGATGGAGTTAGAAAACCACCATAATATTTTAGGTACCTGAATCAGTAAAGAAAACATTAGTGGATCAGCACCAGCGCATGAAAGTGTGATGACAAACATGGTATTTCCAGTCTAAAAGTATCTTCCCACAAATTACTTATTAATTACAATGGGGAAAATAGTAACTAGTAGTGGAGAAACTTGGCAGAGACCACCTTAACAAATTGATCAAAGACAACATCATCAATAATCAGACAAATACGACATGCCTCCAAGTATGATGCACTTGAGAAGAACACAACATCACTTTTGTGGTATGCCTGTCAAAAATGCAAAACAGAATTAACCATTAGGAAACATTCAGTAAAGCCAAATTGAGAATATTGCGCTCCATATCTGATCTGAACTCTTATAATGACCAAGTAATTAGACTGAGGAAATGTTCCAGATAAAAGGACTTTTAATGATAAGACAACAAAATACACCTGGGATCCTAGAAATATACTGGGAGTTACACAATACAAGTAATATATTGTGAATATTGCATTAAAAATTACACACCGGTTATAGAGGGCAATATTCTTTTTCTTAGGAAATGTACACTTAAACACTTCAGTTAAGGAAGCATGATGTCTGCAACTGATTCTCAAATGATTCAGGAAAAAAAATGTGGTGTGTCTACACGTGTGCATGCACACATGAGCACATAGAGAGAAAGCACAGACAGAAATGAAGCAAAAGAGGCAAAATTGTAAACAACTGTTGAATCTGAACAAAAGGTATTCTTAAACACAATTCTTATAAATTTTCTGTACATTTGAAAGTATGTCAAAATTTAAAATTATGCAACAAGGTAAAAATAAAAATAAAAGGTTTTATTTTAATCTAGACATTTATATTTAGGAATTACAGAATAATATTCAAACATATATCGAGAAAGTATTTTTAAGAAGAGAACAACAGACACTGGGTCCTACTTGAAGCTGAAAGGTAGGAAGAAGGTGAGGATCAAAAAACTACCTATCGGGTACTATGCTTATTACCTGGGTGACAATATAATCTGTACACCAAACCCCTGTAACACACAATTAGCCTATATAACAAATCTGCACACATACCCTTGAAGCTAAAAGTTAAAAATAAATAAATCAGAAAAAAAGTAAAGGTTAAAAAATAATTCAAAATCATAAATGTTTTTGAATAATTAGTATAGTGAGAAATCCAGAGTGATAGCTTACATACTATATATCATTTAGTGTTTATGTATATACAATTTACATCTTCATATATATTTAATATTTATATATTCAGATTAAATGAAAGATATATTTATTCATAATTTACACATTGATATATACCTATTAAATATATAAAATACAGGAGAATGAGAACAAATGTAAAACCAACTTTAGAGTTTTAAAATAAATCACACAAACAACATTATATTATAGTCAGAAAATTAAGCAATGTAAAGTTAAATAATAAAATGGTAATCAAAAAATAAGTGAAAGTAGTCAGGACTTAAAGAAAAAAGACAAAAGGTTATCAGTCTTTAAAGATTAGCAATATAAGTGGTTTTTCCTTATACAATTAGTTTTCTAAATCGAAAGTGGCAAGTTTTTTTTAATTTAGGAAAAAACATAAAAATATAAAATCATCCTTAATTCCAGAAACAACTATCCTGTTCTTACTCGCAGACTATTATTTAAATAATTATATCATACAAACTATTTTATGATTATATTCTCTTTTTACTTAATTGTGAATTTCTTGTGTGACAATATCTTTTTTTATCATTACACTGCAAGATCACTGATTAATATCCTGTTGCTATGGCATGCCATCATTTACTTATTTTCTGAATATAAATTATCATCAAATATTTGTGGCAAAAAGAAGTTACTGTGAAGGTCCTTGTGCATATATCTTCTGCCACAGCGTGATTGTTTCCTTAGGATAAAATGCCCAGAACTGGGATTTCTGGGTCAAGTAGCATGAGACTGTTAAAACTTGTTAAACCATATTTTATGAAACTGATGTACCCAACTTTCCTATTTGACCATCTTCCAAATCAGGTTATATTTTACAATTACTGCAGCCAGTTATAGTCATGACAAAGTGTTTGTTGCCTGCTGATGCCCCAACTTGACCCTAGTTCTGCATATGGTCATGCCTTCATTTCAGTTGTATGCACTCTAGGTATTCTACATGTTGAGTTTAATTACCTTTCAAAATGTCTTCTAAAAGATTACACAAAAAGGTAACACTGAAATGAAAAATTGTTTATACGGAAAGGCATGGAAACAAAGCAACTTTAGTAAAATAATTATTCATTTTGTTGAGCTAAAAAAAGAAAAATGCTTACAAATAGAGGAAGATGTGTTACAATCTTGAAACTCAGAACATAGAAAAAAATGGTCATTACAGGATAAGGGATGTAATTAAGGCAGGAAACACTACAAATCCCCCTGAACAATACAAACAACTATTCCAGGTCTCATCACCAATTTATAGCAACAATGTGTCAAAACGTCTCAGCAACACTAGATATTACCATTTTTAATGCCATTTTAATCAATGGTTCTCATACACAGCCAACTTATTTCAGTCCCTCTTTTTTAATTCCCATATTCACTTTAGATTCCTGCAAATTCCCATAGATTTAGCAATTTTCCTAGTCTGTAGATTCCACATTTTGTATTATTAAATTATGGAGATTATTACAAATATTATTCAGTACAAGTCCCCAATAAACACTTTTAGTCTTACTTTGTTTGCTCTACCAGGTCACTGATTCAGGGACAAGTAACAAGCTATGCCTCCCTTTACACAAGACTACATATTCTTTGCTGGTTGATCAGAACAGCATGTCAGACAAAAACTAAACCTTACCGAAGTAAAGATATATGAACTTTTTGTCCTCTCATATTTAAGTTCTGTTATTGTGTTAGAGAAGAAAATTACATTAACTCTGAGTTATTTACTTCTCTCAGACATGTTGGCTGTTACCCCATTTTTTCTGCTCTTAGAAGTGTATGGAAATCAATCATCATTTTGTCTTATTATTTTCATAAATATCAAAGCAAACTGATTAATCTATAACTTCAAAAGTCATCCCTAGTATGTCCTCCCTCTTTTCCTCCCTCCCTGTCACCCCCATCTCTCTCTCTCTTTTAATTTGACCTTCAAGGCCACTAACTCCCTTGCATATTTTCTTATTGTAAATACTACTTCATAATGATCTCATGATATTTTCGATCACAGGCATGACAAATCAGAATCCCCTGATTTGTACACAACCAATATTTAAACATAACCTCTCTGTACTTCATCAGCCAATTTATATCACTGCGTAATTCCATATCCAGTCTCTACATCATGGTTAGGTGCCATGTTGTTGCATTTCCTAACTGAATACTCTATCATCCATTCCTCCTTTTTATTCAACCAGTTGAGGAGAGGCCAGAGACCTGTGGGTTCTCAAGTGGGGTCTCGAGAGATTCAAGTGGGTTGTCTGTCAATTCTTTGTTCCCTTTGTTTCATTTTTTTTCATTGAATGTTTAAAGAAGTGGCAAAATGATTGTTCCAAGCAGTCACCAGCCAACGTGAAGAGTGTTCAATGACAGCTCCTTCACCACTGGCCCCTCGCTACCTGAAGAAACAGGAGAAAATATTGGCTCTTCTGTCTTCTGGGATGAAAACTGGAACACTTCTGCTTTATTCACTGCACTCCATTCCCAGTAAACACACAATAAAGCATGGCATAATTTATACCTTTTGCTTCATTATTTCCTAGTTTCTGAAGAAATGCTGCCTTTTCCTTTGCATATCCTTACTTTTTGACCCATTCCACTTCCATCAAGTTATTCTAAGACATAATAAGATATACAGGCAAAATTTCACGTTCAAAGTACTTCATCCGTGTCATTTATAATGCTACAATTTTAAATCCATAAAAGCAACAATTAGGGATCAACTAAGTAAATTATGGCTTGTCCATATGATGAAATGCCATGTAGTCATAAAAATAATGTCCCAAATAATATTTATTTATATTCCAAAATCTAATCTTCAAAACAATATCAATAATTTCTAAAATAATATGGAGAATAAAGTTGTTTTGTAAATAATGACATAATTTACATATATGTAAATACATGTGCCTATATATGTATATAAATTCAGTATAACAATTCACTATACAGTGAAATGTTAACATTGTTACGTCTAAATGGTGTAAAAATGTAAGTAATTTTCATATTCTTTTTTACATTTTTTCTAATTTTCCAAATATTCCACAAAAAATACATATCATGTTATAATCCAAAAAAATACTAGCTTAAAAGCTGAAAGTGAACAAAAGCAACAAAGTGCATAGGTAAGAACTAATTACACAGCTATAAGTTAGGCAGAACTTCAACATTAAAAGAGCTGGAAAATAGTACAAAGTTGCAACATAAGTAAGAAACAAAATCAATTTTCCAAAAGTTAAGAAAACATGATTTTTTGACGAATGTGGTTGAACCTGAAAGGTGCCTCGCCAGTGTCTAATCTCTCCTTTCTTAGCTGCTATTGGCACATTTATGCTCTTTGACCTTCGCCTGTTCAAAATGTAGTTATAATGATTGGAACCCTGACAGCTATTTTGAGTACAAGAATCCTAGAATGAATGCAAGAATCCAAGATCTCTGGTAACATTACAGAGGTCATCTTAGCAGACTACCAACATCAAGACTTCATATCTTGTGAGGGAAAAATAAAGTACCAATTTCTTTAGGCCACTCTGGATACACACTGAGCACAATTCCTAAATGATACACATTATCTAAGAATTTGCAGATAAAATTAAAGAATGTTTTTGTCATGGGTTTAATGAGTATTTGGCTAGCATACATTAGGGTTCACATGTCGAATCATATTTAAAATGAAGACAGAGGACAGAAATGGAAAGAATTAACAGTTGGAAAATTAGGATACATTAAAAATGACCCAAATAAAGAAATTTATATTTCATTGAAAAATGTTTAGTAGTTTGTTTTTAGTAATGTGAAAAGTTATTTTTAAAATTATAAGTAAAGAAATAGCTTTAACAGTACCAGGAGAGCTTATACTACACTGTAAAAATAAATTTCTAGAAATTAAAGATTGCTTAGATATTAATTTTGTCTTTTTGTTTTTTAAGTGAAGACATTTTAGAACATCTTTAAACCTAACTTTAAATCTGGGGCCTTTCAAATAACGGTCCAACTAGAAGTGTGCTATAAACATGGGATGGAAGAAATGGGTTTTATTTTTAGCATAATCTTGGACCCATGATTTTTATAAACTTGTAGAGATTATCATTGCAAGAGATTATGTTAATATTTTTATATCCTCATTATATTCCAGAAAAAGATACAAGGCATGTCACAAAGATTCATTCAATAGAGCATCATTAAATTCATAGCCCTTTATCCTACTGCATCAATATTTAACAATTTTTCAAGACATTTATAGAATGAATGGTTGTATTATGGACTTTGGTAGGTCTCAGAGGAACAATGAGAAATGTGATGTCTCCATTGTGAAAAAGCTTCTCATCTAAAATGGGAGGCATGTGAGGGCACCACTATGATAACAGGTTGAAAGTTAGCAACAGCAATAGGAACAAGGTTCTATGGGAACACAGAAAATAGAATAATTTTGCCTTGGGGATTTGGAGAAATCCTTCAAGGTTTTGCTCGTGTGAGCTGATCTTTGAAATGAGCATCTAGGTAATTCAAGGCTGCAAAGCAACGTGAGCAAAGAAACAATCATGGACTTCTATGATAAGTCCAGGTAACAGAGAATCAATTCAGCGAATCCTGAAAGTAGATTAAGAGGGGGTAAAAAGTGAGATGCAAGGCCAAAAAAGGTCATTTGGAATAGATCTCTAAGAAGGACCTTGAATGATATGCTAAAGAATTTGAAATTTAACCTGTAGAGCTTTTGAAGGTTTTTAACACCCAGGAGTTACATGCTCATTCAGAGATCCCTCTATTGACAATGTAGAGTATTTAACAAACCAATGATGAGGCATAGTTTTATTTTAGAGAAACATATTAGTCTTGGGTTTAGATTAAGCACAACCTTGACTGAGGGCTAGCAGGAGTGACAGAATCAGCCCTTGAGATCCTTTTCAATTTTAAACCCTGTGACTTATGTCTCCTGCAAAGGAAACAATTTCCAGGCAAATTCTTATAAATGACATAAGTGGCAGAACTCTGAAGCCACTTGGGTGAAAATCATAAAGGCGTTGTGATTTCAAATACCAAATGAGTTTGACAAGAAGCATATAAAGTGCACAATCTCTGACTAGCTAACAGTGGAATTTGAGAAGAAAAAAAAAGTCACATGGAAGACATTCTTATAGCAAGTAGAAAGGCAGTTTCAACTATCCTACTGGGAAAGCCAGATAAAAATTTGACTGACCTAAATCCTTTTTGGCCTGCATCATTTTGCAAAGTAGCCTCTACTGCTCTGGAAGGCCCAAGGGACCTATCTGTACATATGCAATCTAATTAAATGCATGTAGCTAAATGCATGCAGTAAGGACTTAATTGTGTAGAGCATTTTGCTAGGTACAGCACAAAAAGAATTCTGTTAGACTGCCTTTCTGGATTTTCTAATCTACAAATAGCAAAGAGATGTAGACATACATCCATAGTTTAGGTAGAAGAAAGAATTTATTCAAGTATAGGAATAGGCAAAATTATATGTACCAACAATGAATGCTTCATGAGCATCAATAAATAAGTGGAACAACACCTTGATTAGCTCCATTTCAAGGGGAACCACAGTTAAGGGTCAGAGAATAAATGCCAGTGACCAGATCTCACTCCTGAGACCTACTGGAAGGGAAAAGAAAAGCTCTGCTCTATTCAGGTTTAACAGCTCTAAACGGCAAGGTCAGTCAAGCAGTCTGAGGCACAGCATGTCACAGGAGTGATGTGCTGAAGAAAGAAGAAACAAACCAGCCACCACACAGCATGAGTCTGGGGATACAAGCTCCTTTCCTTTCCTTTTGTTTTCTCTTCTGTTTTTGTTGCTGTTGTTGTTGTGCCATTCTAACAAGGGCATTTAGCCTTACAGAGGGAGACCCAGATAAAAGTGTCAGCTAAAAGGCAGGAACTCATACCATTTCTAATAAATAGAAGGTGTGAACCTGGATTGAGAAAGCAACACGGGAAAAAGTTTTAAGTTGGGGTGCAGTGTGAATTTTATCCCTGAGACCAAGTACATTGTGTATGAGATCAGAATTCTTAAGTCCCCTGAGTGACTGGTTTGATGGCAATCAGCCAAGTATATCATGAGATCACAACTGTCGATACTAACAAAACTCCCTGTCCTTGAACCCCTGCACAGTGATAAGTGAATGAATGAGGCACATATTTTCCCATAAAATACAACCATAAATAACATAATATGAACACATTTACTAAAACACAGAAAAGGAAAACTAAAAATTCTACAAAATAACAACATGTAATTTATACATTTGTAATTCATGATTCATACATTTGGAACACTGTTCATATAGACAGATGATTTTTGTGTTTGTTTATGTTACAAAGACATCCTTTCTTGATAGAATAGCCTCATGAAAACATGTAGCTCTATTTCGCAGGTGTTACTCTTTCCTGATTGAGAAAATAATTCTCAGAAGCAAGAATGAGAGAACAATTATCTTGATAGTATGAGACTTCAGTAGGGCAGACACTTCACAGGAAGCAAGCAGAAGTGCAGACACACCCACAAAACTAAATTTTGGCCAGTGGACCCCCAGGGTTTTATAATTGCAAAAAGCATTCAATAATTGCATGCCATGAGCATGAACCCACTGCTGAAAACCCACTGGTAAGTATGTATCTCAATAAATTGGAAGTGCCTGATCTTGCATTTACATAGTGCCTTAAACTATGTAGATCTCAAAATCACTAGCTACATTTATTAATTGATTATGTATACTGACTGCTTAAGCAGGAATCATTTCATGCATCAATAAAGTACAGTCATTTCTATATTAAAATGTAGCAGCATTTTACTGGCCCACAATTTTATATACCCAGTTACTGTGAGATGTAGGCCTCTGGCCAAATAAAAGTGCATCGGTATTTAGTGAATTATAGTAAAATGGCAAGTGCATATAATACAACATGATTAAAATCACATAATAAAATTTTTCAATGGTAAGTAATAAATACATATGAGATTTTATAAAAAGCAAACAGACAGAAAGTAACTCCCACTACATGTAGTAGTTTTAGAGTGTGTTAGTGTGGGGTGAGGAAGGATAAAAGAGTGTCAGGAAGGCTTTGAGGGTGGTTAAAAACTTAAAACTGATTAGAACCTAACAAGAAAGTTATACTGAACGTAAGGTTTGGGATAAGGAGCATTTTTTTTTAATCCACCTGGCAAAATTTAATTTGATCTAATATCAGGTCAAAATAAACTCTAGAGTTAATGAAGGAACTGAAAGTCAAGAATGAATCTGAATTATGAAATAAGATCAATAATTTATACTTAGTTTTAGTGGTGTCCAAGGCCAAGATCGTGGAGGACCACACTTAAAAACTGCCAGGAAACTTAGAAAAATGAAAAATCAACTTTCCATAGGAGCGCTTTGCAGAAAAGCACACACACAGGTAGTTTGCATCAACTCTGCCCTGTGCTAGGAAACAGTGTATCTTTGATTTCATGCTCGTGAAGAATACACTGTAAAATTAATCATATTGCTAAATATTTTATAACTATGGAAAACATCTTTTGTGACTTACTAACTTCCAAGGTGCTTGGTGTTGAATAAAATGAAGACTGTTCTGAAAGTGAACTTACAGGATTAATTATCAATTGACTATCACTCTATAAATAAAATAATTATAATTGGTGTAATATGTTGGCAGATAGATGCAATAATACAAGAAAATGAATCAATTGTCTGTCTGTGAGTACATGTAACCTTGGTTGAAAATGGTTAACCTCATGCATGGTCCCCAGAATTGGCAGGAGTTAGTACTTGATTTTAAATATATTTTATGTAGAAATTGTTTACAAAGTTATTGAAGCTTGTAACAAAATTTTATTTTTAATTACTTTTAAAGTATTTTCAAGTGGCACACAAAACTTCAAGATGGAATGAAACAGGAGCACTAAGGAAATGCAAATGAGGACCCAACATTATTTTAGGCAGCACTAGAAAATTGCTTGAATCACATGGCAAAAGTTCTAATAGGTTTTAAAAATAATTTATTTACTTGCAATATGAAACATTTTTTAAACACAGATAAATACAATACTATTTAATAACCTATAATGTCCTCATATAATAAGCTCACAAAACATAATGCAATTTATTTCTGTACCACCATTTTTAAAAATAACTATTTTATTTTACTGAATATGTTCTTGGAGCTGAGGAAGTTGTAGGTTACATTTAAAACTTAGTCCTTGTACATTTCAACATTCTGCAAATGATTTGGAAATAAATCAAAAACAGTATGATGCATCATTAAATTCCCACCAGCAGTTTATTAATTTATGTATAATTATCATTTGCACAAGTTATTATGAAGGAAATGACAAAATACCAGTGCTCAAAACATATTCTCCTCACTTGATAAGAAAAGAGAAGTGGAATTCAAATATTTCTAAATGGGAAATCAATTACAATTTGTTATTTCAAATTATGCTTTCTTCCACATTAAAAAAGCAGAAAGTCTCCAAATAAGCATGTATAAAAATCATTAAAAACTAGATATCACATACCGAAAATAAAATCTGTGTCTTTAAAGAATAAGAAATATACAATGTTTCATCTTTTTCATTCAGAAATGAAGGGTGGGATGGCAATGTTTTAAAATGTTCTCTATTTTACACACACAAAAAGCATTGATCTTTCAATTTCTCTAAGCCTCTTCCACAAGAAAAACAACATAGTCAAAGCAGATCAAATAACTAAGGGGGAAATGCAAGATGGCTGTCACTTAACACAGAACACCTAACAAAAATCAGCGGTGATGTTGGAAATTCCCAAATAGAAGATATCAACCTTGTTCTCAGCTAGATGCACTTTTTTGCAAAGTGGTAGGTCATTGTTTAGCATTGTGTATAATGTGTATAATATCATAATATTTATCATGAAATGAATGCACCTTTGCCTTCACACATTTATCTTCCCTTCTCTCAAGTAAGATTTCTCAATATTTCACTAACACAGTTTTACTGTTTCTACTTCACTTGGCTTCAGTCCCATCTTTAACTCCTATTTATTTATTGGCACTTGGGGCCCAATTTTGCAGTAACTCCTTACAATAACTCTTCCAGGTCTTAGATTTTATTTCGAAAATCGGTTAAGCAGGCCAAATTTACTAGGCACCTGTCACACTAGATACCAAGAGAGGACCATCGGAGAGGAGATACACAAATAACAGCTCACATTTATTGAGCACCTGCTAAGTGCCAAGCACAACAATCAGTACATTTCATGCATTGTCACCTCAACTCTCATGTCATTACAATTATAAGGTGGATGAGAATATCTAGCTCATAGTGCTGTAAGAATTAAATGAGTTAATGTTATGTAAAGCACTTAAAAGAGACCTTCTTGCCCAGTAAGAGACCTGGGTTGTATTCATGTTATCTACTATGACTATTATCTCCATTTTAAAGATGAGGTAACTAAGTTCCATGCAGGCTATGTAACTGTCTTCTGTCATACTTCTAGTAATTAGATATAAGAATTTTTAAACTACATTTATGTGATTCCAGGCACCACAAAATTAAACTTGTGTCTTTAACACTTAATTGTGTTTTACTGTCTCCTAACTTGAATCTCTACATTTATCTTATCTTAGAATGAAGAGGAAGTTAATATGCTAAAAGGTCCTAATTAATTGCCAAGAACTTCAACTTTAATATGTAACTTAATGGACCTTAGATTCACCAACCACATAAAATAACAGGACAAAAGAGCTCTAACTGCCCACAAGTTACTGTCCTCAAATCAAGATCACCCAGAAAATGGTAAAATGAGGGGACCAAGAGAGACGGTAATCACAAACTATCAAGAGAAAACAGATATTCACAGCTTTAAAAAGTGCCTCTTCCTTTGTCCATGTGTTCTCATTGTTCAATTCCCACCTATGAGTGAGAACATGCAGTGTTTGGTTTTTTGTCTTTGCTATAGTTTGCTGAGAATGATGGTTTCCAGCTTCATCCATGTCCCTACAAAGGACATGAACTCATCGCTTTTTATGGCTGCATAGTATTCCATGATGTATATGTGCCACATTTTCTTAGACACAGGAAGGGGAACATCACACACTGGGGCCTGTTGCGGGGTGGGGGGAGTGGGGAGGGATAGCATTAGGAGATATACCTAATGTTAAATGACAAGTTAATGGGTGCAGCACACCAACATGGCACATGCATACATACATAACAAACCTGCACGTTGTGCACATGTATCCTAAAACTTAAAAGTATAATTTAAAAAAAAAAGAGTGCCTCATTGTTAATTTGTTTTTTTTTTTTCAGTTCAGAATCCCCTATCCTTTTATACTATAAAAGACTAGGTTTTACCACATAAATTAAATAAAGTATTTTTTCTCAGTTTTCCACAATATATTTTTGTGGTATACGTATCCTACACTATGGGGGGAACCTTGGAAACTTCCTCATTTCTCTCTCTTTCTCTCTCTCTGTCTCTCTCTCCATTTCTATCCATAGAAAGCTAACTATGATTATTTTTTAGTTTGCTGATTCATGTTCATAGTTAAGAATGCTAAAGCATGAACATATACACAGCAACAACCGGCAGGTTAGTAAATTTTTTTGTGGGAACTACCCATATGCTCACGTTAATTAGGAATAGCTAGTATCTTTACAGCAATTATTTTGATCAGCTACAAAATTAGTGTTAGCCCAAGGATACTAAGGAGTGAACATTTCAAGAGCAGCTGCTGATCTAAGATGGCAATATCTTCACATCTGTGAACACTGAAATGGCCATCCTTCATTTACCAATTCTTCTGTAAATTTGCAAGCACATCAGGTAATCACAGTAACTGGTACCGTTTAAAAACAGAGAGAACTATAAAATGTACTGCCTCTATCTGGAATCCACTATAAAATGTTGTTTCAAATTATTCCTCAGTGCTTTGAAAGTGTTTAGGAAAACAGGTGAAATGGAGATACGATCTTTTAAACAATCATCTTGTAATGTGCATTTTTACATCAGCAAAAAAAACCATTAAGCTGTGGGAAAATAAGGCCTTGAAGAATGAAAAAAGTTCTATTAAAACAATTCTATTTAGGATCTGGTTACACACATTCATAAAACTAAAGATGTATGATTCTGATTTGATTGGTAAAGTCAGTTAGACACAAAGTAAAGAATCAAACTTAAAGGATACAGGACAGAGACTGAAGATCATTGTTAAGAAGGCAATGAACACCTTTAGTCTAATAAAGACCCAGAGCAAGTAAGAGCTCTGTATCAGTCTTAGGCTTTATACCTAGAAAAATTCTAGTTCACTTTATTCTCAATAAAATGATAGACCTATCTTCACAAAATAAACATTAGACTACAAAGTGGTACTGGGGACTTTTTAATATCAGTTGATTTATTTTTATTTTATTTTATTTTATTTATTTTACTTTATTTTATCTTTTGAGACAAAGTTTTGCTCTTGTTGCCAGGCTGGAGTGCAATGGTGCAATCTCGGCTCACTGCAACCTTTACCTCCTGGGTTAAAATGATTCTCTTCCTTCAGCCTCCTGAGTAGCTGGGACTAGAAGTGCGTGCCACGACGCTCGGCTAAAAAATGTGTGTGTGTGTGTGTGTGTGTGTGTGTATATACATATATACACACACACACACACATATATATACACACACACACACATATATATATATACACACACATATATATATATATATATATTCGTATTTTTAGTACAGACTGGGTTTCACCATGTTGGCCAGGCTGGTCTTGAACTCCTGACCTCAGATGATCCGCCCACCTCAGCCTCCAAAAGTGCTGGGATTACAAACCCAGCACCTGTTGCTTTAAAGATGAGGAAACTGACATTCAGAGAACTTAAATGACATGTTATAGAGTTTATTAATGGCTTTATCAGGACTAAATCCAATGTTCCCCTCTTAGCCCCATAATGTAGTACTATAGGGAATTATTGCTATCACGTTCAGTGACAAAAGTGCCAAGAATTTATATTTCTTTATATAGTAAACCCCCTCAACCCCAACCAGTTCCTCTCCCCAGAGGAACTCACTTTTAATTGTTTATTAGCTCTACAATGGAATCTTTAAATCCCAATATCTTTATGGATTATGATGCCTCCACAGAGAGTGGTTGGAATCTGTGGAAATCTGGGAAGTACACACTCATCGAAGCATAATCACATTTTTTTTTTCAAAAAAATTAAAGCAAGTTTGACCAAGCAAACTCAAAGTAGTTTAGCCATTATCTAAGTCACTTCACATCATATTCAGAACTTCTCTGTATCTTTCCTCCTAATGTAGTCATTATTCCTCTTGTTGGTTATCTTTGTAATTTTAAGGACTATATCAGTGCTATTTCTTATATTAACTATAGACACTATCTCTTGACTCCTATTTTGTGATATGCTACTATTCCAATCCCTAACCTTTCCTTCAACTCTCTCCAGTCCCCATACCTAATTCCCAACCTCAGCCACCTGTATGTTTATCGTGACATTGTCAGTCTTGATAATATTTGCATTTTGTTCTATCACCACAATTATCTTCCACATTTTAAGTAAGATTGACTGAAAATCAATCAAAAGATGAAAATCAGTAAATACCATGTATATTTAATATAAAAATATTATTCATTTTGGAGCCAACTAAAGTCCTATGGTTATTTTCCCTTTTTGCATATTCTTTTGTTTTACCTGACATTTCTACTTTTTTTCTTTGTACATTTTTTGTCTTTTTAAATACTCCTTAAACATTAAATATTCTATAATGTCCCCTTTTTGTCCCAAATCCTCCCACCAACCAAACCCTCCATTTCTTTATACTAATCCTATACCAGGTTGAAACAACACAATTTGTTCACCTTCCTGGACTACTTCACATAGCCATCATGCCATGTCTTTCTGTTTTTCTTAACCATAGTTTGCTGAGGTTCAACCTGGAGTAACTTTTCAAGAAAGGTTATATTTAAAGAAGATAACGTTTGTCTTCATATGTCTTAAAATGTCTTAATTCTACCCTGACACGGGATATTTTGACTGGGTATGGTATGCTGAGTTGTAAATCACCTTTCCTCAGAAATTTGATAATTATCCTCAATTCATTAATGTTGCTCTAACTGTATTTTTTGTTTTCTTACTAGACGTCCAATTAGGAAGTCATGCTTCGTGGAGATTCACTGTGACTCATATTTTCCATCTTGTTTCATTTTTATTAGAATTGATAGATTTTTCTCCATTTAAAATCACAAATTTTCCCTTAAAATATTTGAAAATATTCAATTTCCAAGAGTTTTTCTTACTCATTTAGTGTTCCTTTTCTATATCATCCACTTGTTTTATGAATGCAATATTTTCCTGGATCTTTTCAAGAATTATATATATATATATATATAATATACATATATATGTGTGTATATATAGATATATATATAAAAATAACATATATTTGTCTCTTTTATGGTCCTCTGTGTGTTTCTTGCAAAGTCATTTTGTTGTTACTGGTTTCTTTAACTTGGTCTCTTTATTTTTCATGTTGCAGACGTTCTAAAATTTTTGTTCCTACATTATATCTTAAATGTCTGTGATCCTTGATTGCTGTTTTATGTAGTTAAGAATGAAGGAATACCAGCCTGGGTAGCATAGCAAGATCCCCCATTTCTACAAAATTATAAAAGTTAGCTGGGTGTGGTGAGACATTTCTGTAGCCCTGCTTCCTTGGGAGGCTAAGGCAGGAGGATTGCTTTAGCCCAGGAGTTTGAGGTTACATGTAGTGAGCTATGATCATGCCACTGTATTCCAGCCTGGGCAAGAGACCCTGGCTCAAGAAAAAAAAAAAAAAGTAAAGAATATAAAGGAATAAAAAGTGCAAATCTCTGTGAACTTGAGTGGGTCTTGTTGACTAAAAGACTTTGCTTTAGGGCAAGCAAAAAGCTGATCATTAGGCTTAAAGACTGTAAGTGCCAAAATAAAAGAGGCATTGTTTTTCTAAGACCCATCCTTAGTTGCCCTTGCTGTCCCTTGCTAGTTAGTACATGTTAAGAGTGGATAGTTAGGTGAGTGAGTGAGAAAAACTTACTATAGAGATGTTTACATAGAAAATAGAGTTGTGAATACAAGGCTATTTCATCTATACATGTTTGATAAATTATTTTGTTTTAGCCCCAGACTCTCATTTCTGTTCTTTACTTTTTTCAGCATTATTGAGCCTCAGGCCTTTGGGGGCTTAATATGGGCAGAGTGAATCTCCTCAACTTCAAGCCACCAACCCACCTCCCCCTGCCTCGACCCCCCCCTACATTCTAGGCAGTTTCCTTTGCCTTCCTTTACTCTCTACAATTTGTAATAGTTTTATAACTTTTAATCCCTCCATTTAATGCTTGACTTAATGAGTTTTCAGGAGATAGTTTAGATAAAAATAGTTCTTATTCCTTCCTCTTAAAATGGATACTCATCTATTGAAAACGAAGAAGCTATACTTTAAAAAGTCTAAATGAAAAAAACCCAAGAGCCAACAAAATTATTACACTATTGCATGTCACCATAATCATGATAGTAATAATGTTCTTCAGAATGATTCAAATAAGGATCTCTGTTGAGATAAATGTGAATTGCCCATCTGCACAGACCTTAAGGGACACAGGGTAAAATTGATACTACTGATTTCATGTTTGAAATGCCTTATATCCTGTTCTGTTTGTGGAAAATGAGAAAACTGATTAACATTTGCAAAAAAAGATTAATTGAAGTTCAAAATTATTTGAGATATTTGCAAATATTTTACATTTGTGGAAGTTAGTTTTCCTTACAAAAGGAATGGAAATGATGTATACATGTTATCCCACTTGAATTAGCATTTTATATAGATAATAAGAATTTGTGCATTGTAGAAGCAAAAATGGGCCTATTGTTGTCTGCAACAGCAAATGAAGTGTCTCATAACTAGCAATTCAATGTGTTAATTCAGCTGTACCATCCAATTACCTACAATTCATCTCAACTTTAGTGCACAACAATAAAAGTCTTTTAAAAATTTTTGACAAAATGTCTGCTCTAGGTTACCAAAATAGAGGAAATACTATCCATAAGTCTGACAGTGGGTACCACAGAATATAAATTGTTAAAATTATTTATCACAGCCTATCAATATCACAATGATTTTTGATGTGAAGTCAGTAATCTAGCATAAATAATGAACCATATATTGGTTGTTTTATTTTTAAAAAGTCTGACCAAGTAATGTGAGAACCGTGTGGCAAGTGAAATTGGCATCCCCTCAAATAACACGGCATTCCTTTGGAGCCATGGCCTGCCACCTGCCAACTGACCACAGGGCCCAAGCACACAACTCTAAAAGTAGACAAAGGTAATGAGATGCAAATTTAGCATCCCCTTCCACCTGTTAAATGACCTAGATGCAAGAGCTATAGTGTCTCTTACCTATTCAGAAACTAAATGATTAAATGAACAGCCTTTTTTAATTTCCTTTTTTGTTTTTTGTTTTGTTTTGTTTTGTTTTACCAGAATCAAGGAAACCAATACATAGTTCAGTCTGGCTACATGAAGATTTATTAAGTCATAAAAGAGAGACAATTTAAAGCAAAAAGCACCATGAAGAAGAATGGAAAGAAGAACAAAGAACAAGATATGGAGCAAAGAAAAAGAATACTAAAAAATAATAAATACAGTATTTACCTTAAGAAAAAAATCAAAAGGTATGCTTAAAATCTATAACATATGAATAAAATCTGCACCATATTCAGTGACAGACTGTTTCTAATATTTTTCAGGACAAGTGATATATAATCCTATTTGAGACTGAATGATCAAGAGAATCGAAGAAATATAAGTCTCAGGAATCCTGGTGAAATTTGCTATAAGAAAAAGAGAAAAGATGGTAGTGAGTCTTGAAAGTAGAATAGTCAGTAACCCCATAAACCCTTAAATCATTTACTGAATTGGAAATCACATTGTTTCTAAATGCCGATTTTTAACTCTTTTTTAAACCACACAAGTGGAATGACTCATTATTGGGGGTTTAGAATTCAAATAATTTACATAATTTAATCAAACATCGGTCTAAAATAAAATTCATTTTAAAAAACACCAAAGAAAAGCCATTTTACAAGATTATTTTAGTGTATTAAACAAAAATATTAAATAACAGAAAGGAGAAAATGTACTTTGTTAAAGATCAATACATCAGTTTTCACAAGTGATTATAAATTACAAATATTCCATCTTATACAAAGCTTACAAAAATTATTGAGAAAAAATCCATAAATTTAGGTAGAATTTCCCCAATCCTTCCATAAATATGAATATTTCCTAATGTAACTTAAAGATCTTATGAGGAGCATTACAGGAAAATAAATTGTTTCTTATTTAGTATAAAGATGTAAATCTTAGTTACGTATTTGAAGTATATATGGTTATTTTGTTATGGATTGAAACAAACAGCTGTTTATTTTCCAAATCTTTTAAAAATATTCTTGTCTGCAACATTATGTATTACTGATTATTAATATTGTTTTGGTCTAATTAGAGGCCAAGTCAATGATGACACTACTTGAGGAAAACCACTCTGATTTTTCCATGTTTACTATCCCATTCATAATTATATTTATTTATCTGGTGCAACAACTTCTAAAATATAAACTTTTTAAAAATTTTCCAACTCGAGAAATATCAGCTTTTCTTCCTTCACTTTCAAAGGCAAAACTTACTCAAATAGGGAAAAGACATAGAAATCTGTGTTCTGTTTTCAATTCTGCTACTTCAAGTTTTGTGGCTCAAAGCACGGCCAGGATCAGTGGCTCATGCCTGTAATCCCAGTACATTGGGAGGCTGAGGCGGGAGGACTACTTGAGGCCAGGAGTTTAAGACCAGCCTGGGCAACATAGTGAGACTCTGTCTCTACCAAAAAAAAAAAAAATTAAAAATTAGCCTGACATGGCAGCACATGCCTGTAGTCCTAGTTACTTGGGAGGCTGCGCCAAGGGGTTTAAGGCTACAGTGAACTATAATTGCACCACTGCACTCCAGCATGGGTAACAGAGGCAGACTCTGTCTCAGAACACACACACACATGCACACACACACACACACACACACACGTAGGTAGTTTTAATTATTTTATCAAAATTAACATCATCCTTGCCCTTCCACTGATCTTCTTACACTGGCCAACTTACTTAACCTTTCTGTGACTCACTTTCCTTGTCTCTAAAATAAGAATACTAATAAAATCTACTTTTGAAGGTCTTTATGATTAAATGAATCAATATCTGCAAAGCACTTAGAACAACTCTGGGGCATAGTAATTGCTGTGTTTTGTTAAATAAATCTGTTAAGTGATATACTACAAGCAGATTAGTTGCTTGAAATGTCACTGCACCTCAGAATCACATAGGAAAATGTGCATAAAGGTAGATTCTGTGGATCCATCCCAGTTAAATGAGACTCTGTATCAGTGGGACCTGAACACCTGTAACTACAATGAATAAATAAACTCAAGGTAATTTGGATTTACAACCTGCTTTGGTAGAAATGAAACTAATGTCTTAGGTCAATTTAGCCACATTTCACACACTCCACCAGTATTCTTTTCCTCTTTGATGGCCCAAATAGACACTATCTAAAGCAACCTGGGATGTAAAACCAACCACCAGTTTTACAAGAGCACTAACCAAACCTGCTTCACTTTCGCCAAGGCAAAGAAGTAAAAATGGAGCAAACTGACCCGTACAAGTTGGGATGTGTTTTTTGGAGGGAAGATGGAGAAATTAGTTCTGACAAGCTCTTTTTGTCATTGCCCAATATTCATTTCCAATCCCAGGACACAGAGTGGCACCATCTTAGTGTCAGTAAATGGCAGTTAACTACCAAGAAGGAACAAGTCATCCCTAATCTTCCAATCATTTCAACAAACATTAACACAGTAAACTAAGGCTAAAGCAAGTGCTAGCATCTTTCCTAGGTCCAAATTTTATTTGAAACTAGGAAGAGAATGGAATAAGCTATAAGCATTATGTCATCAAGTCATGAATATGATGACCATGCCGGCCAGAGCTGTGTGGGTGCATAGAGTAGGCAGCATATCACAGTGGTTCAGAGTAAGATGGGCATCCAAGCACAATCTACGGGAAATTTTTTGTGATGAAATTTTCATCAGTCTTGGGTGAAATTAGGAAAATGAGTACAATGTGGAAAAATGTACAGGGAGCTTAATTTATTCTCTTTAAATAACTATTATTTATTTTGAGATTCAGTTCTTCCATGTTATTTGGTGTTAAAATATCCACTTTTATAAAATTGAGATGATAGAAGTAGACTTTTTCAATCATTCTTACTATACAAAAGAAAATAATCACATAAAGTTTACCACTTGATTTTTTTAAATTATCAGTCAGTGAAAATGTCAGACTGAGAACTATTAGATTATTGGCTTCAAGGCAGAATAAACTGGTGTCATCCTTGATGCTCACACATATTAGCTGTGTGATTCTGAGGTGATGCCTCATTTATACAATGGCAACAGTAACATACTATTACTCATATTGTTGTTATAAAGATAAAACATGTTAAGACCTGCCAGATGTTTACTTACCACAGTACAAATACAAAGTAAACAACCAACGAATTTTAGCCACTTTATCAATTTATAACCCAATACACCATCTTACCTTCTTCATAAATAAGCTGGAATGGATACACCTTTACATATATTTTATTCCATTTTTCTTTCTTTAAACTAATGGTTGTATTTCATTGGGGTTTTGATAGTCATATAAATCTCACCTTCTCTATCTGAAACTAATTATATAATAATAATCTCAAGAGGAAATTAAGTCAGTTATTATGCTTCTAAGCTACATAATCCTCCTCATATGTCAAAATCCACTTTATTAACAAAAAAGAGGTGCTTTGCTTGTAATATCAAGGCAATTAATATAAGACAAGAGACTAAGTTGACATTTACTACTATCTTCAAGATGTTATTTGGATGATTTTTGATTGTGCTATGCTTTTAAATTCTTCTTTCTGTTTACAGTGGCTACTCACCACATGCATTACGTTCACCAATGTGTCAACAAGCAGATTAATCACACTCTTCCTAAAATGTTGTATAAGAGCTTAAATAAGATTTAAGTGACAATTCAATGTAGTGGAATATATGAAACAGAGTCCCAATTAATTCCTCTTCATGTTAAAACCTTAACATGATATATCTTGCACAGCCCCCATCTATCTTAACAATGAGCATATCTTTAAAAAATATGAAAGAAATCTAAGTATTTATTATGGACATTGTATTTAATTTTCTCACATAGTCTACAAGATGATAACAAATATGTTCATATCTATGGTAATAATAGTCATTCTTCTCCCTACATCCCTCTCAAACTATCTTGAGAGGATTAACCATTAACCTGGAACAATTTTTAATAACTGATATTTTGAATTGTGTTTGAGTTCATTTCTGAAGGGTAGGTAATTATGGTAGTGTACACATTAAGAGAGAGCCTGACAGTTCATGAGGACTCTAATTACGTGGACATTGAATGAAGTTGAGCCCTTAAAGGAAAAGCATGTCTCCCAACTTTAACTTAACAATTTAAATTTTAGATCCCATCAATCTCTGCAGTGATAACTTTTAAAAATTAAGAATTTCATTTAAATGTATAAGTCTAAAGACATACTAAAAACAGCTTGAAAAACTCATAGCTATAAATGAATTTAAGGACATGAGAGCACACAGTAATCAGAATCACACAGATGTCTTTAGCCACCTGTAATCATTTCTTGGTAATCAAGCTAACACCAATTAAATGTATTATAATAGATACACTACACTGAAAACACAGACACAGGTCTAAATATGAAATCAAGAAGAAACAAATATCAAGTGATTAAAGTCTGTTTGGTTTACACTGCTCCTCCCAAAAACTAGATATAATTGTTTATAATGCCCCAAACGGATGACTATTACTGAATTAAATGTATTCATTTTCATAAATTTCCTTGAAAAGCTAAATTTCACAATGAAAAACCAGACTTTTCAAACACAGGTATGCATATATTTGAATGGCAGAAGTCCTTCAACAATGTGCCTTGATAGAAATTGTAAACAGAAGTCTAATCTGATAAAATAATAAATGGTTTATCAAAGCAGACAGTGCCAGATCTTTAAATGTGATTTACGTTTTCAAACATATGCTTAGCCACTGTGTGTGTATGTGTGTGTGTGTGTGTGTGTGTGTGTGTGTGTAGTGTGGGGGGGTTGCTGTTAGAAATGTCATTAAATAGGTTGTCAGAATAAATATGAGTATATATATGTAGGACTTGATTTGATGTTTCACATGTGTTTATTTTGATGACAAGAGCAGAGGGAAGGATTTAGAACCAAAGCCCAGTTTAAATCCTTTGATAATTAGGCATATGGTCATTCAGACTTCAAAGCAGTGATCCTGTTAGATCCCATTAGATTTAAGATGTCTACATGTTCCTTCTGACAGGGACACAAATACAAGAAGGTGATGTACTAAGAGTCGCTGTCAAGAATGTGTTGTTTGTTGCAAGAGGTTTCTCTTTAAAATATCATGTCTAATAAGGCAAATTAGTTAAAGGTCATAACTATATGAAGTGTCCATTTTTAAAAGGACAATGAACACCTAACAGAGATATGTAGCATTATAATTTATTTTAGACAGTAAGGCTTAATTCTATTCCTACTTTATTCTCAAGCATTTTCTCGACTGTTATTATTCAGAAACACCAGGATTCTCTTCATCTGCCCATTCATAAAGAATAAAAATACCCATTTGTTACTGTTACTTCTTATCTCACCCCTTTCCTAAAATCCCGAAGTCTTTATAAGCTGTACAAGCTCTATTACATGAAAATGCTCCTGTTACAACTACTATTTCTAGAAATCAACTTGGCATGATAACAACATAGTTCACTCTGACATAACTGTTTAAACTGAAATGACTGCCCAGTAAGTTAAAAAGTTAGATGCATAAGTTAAACCTGTAAAACAAATAGAAGGTCTCTCAAACAATATCAGATTTTCCACCTTCATTATGTCTTTGCTATTTTTAAATATAAAAATTGGGTACAGTATCAAGTGATTTATAAATAATATTTTTAAAGAAAAATTGCTTTGAACATGCTCCTGCACCATACTCATGATAAATTAGCAACTATTTTAAGAGGTGACTAGCATATCATCAAGAAAGTAGTATTGCTGCCCATGGATTTCTATTATTACTTTGAATTAGGAGGCATTATGTTTCCAGGTACTTTAGGAAATTCTCACATTCATGCAGTATCGCACATCTCATATATATATATATATATGAAGCAGTAGGGGAATCCATAAATTATTTAGGGTAAGTGATCCAGCTTACAGATCAATATATAGCCCCCAAGTATTTTAAGCTGATATATCTGTTCTTTATATTAAAAGAGAGAACTTTTCACTTGTTAGAAACCACATGAAAGTATTCACCCAAAAATGATGCCATGTCCCAACTTACTTTCAGGTAAGGAGATTGAGAGATGCCACATTTCAGGGCCCCTCTAAACTCATTTCTTCAATTCTGCAATGACTGTGTTAAAGAACACCAGCCAAGTTGTAGACTTGCAAAAAGGGGCAAATTCAAGCAATAACATGAACTACAAAGAAGCAGAAGACCCCTGTTTCAATATCCCTTCTACTAGTTCTCAATTACCATTCATAAAAAATCTAAATGAAACCTCCCAAAAAAGGAGCGGGGAGGTGGAATTTAGCTGCAGGCTCCTTAGCATACCTGGTAACTTGGAAGCCTATGATCCGCTGCATGCTAATCAATCAACCAACAAGTTTTATTAAGCACTTACTAGTTTCCCCACACTGTCCTAGGGACTACATATCTGAGACAGCCTCCATTCTCACATTCCCACTCAGGACTTTCCGAACTGGAATTAATCTATACCAGCAGTACCCTATAATTCCTTTAGAAAAGCTTTCTATTCTTCCTCTCCAAAGCGGATCCGAGACACAGTGCCCCTACTTAAGCAAGTACCTTAAGCCCTGGAATGGGATAAGCATCACAGAAATGGTGAAATAAAAGCATTTATTTAAACAAGCAGAAGCAGCCAGGAAAATTCTCCATGGAATTGAAGGTGGATAGGGGCTAAAGGAGAGATGTGAAATCCTGGTTTATGGCAAACAGTGCAGAGAAATGCATCTTTTTAATGTTCAAAGTCTGCCTTAGGCTACGCAAATTCTCCAGACCTATCCAATTCCCAAATCAAACGAACAGGGTTTCAATATGAAGGTTCTTATTCTGCAGGAGACGTGGGGAAAGAAAAAAAAAAAAAAAACAGAGATTGCGGGAGGGGGGTGCGGGGGGAAAGAAAGATTAGTAATGTAATGCAAAAGTCATTCTTTGAGGAAAAGGAAAGGATGCGTGTAATACAAGGAGAATTATCCCGGAAGGTGAGAGGTCCAAAAGTAAATAACCAATAGGTTGACCTTACTTTTCAATATTCTCGAACCAGCAGGTTTCTTTAACACTAGAGGGCATGAACGCAAACGAGACAGAGAGAGAGAGACAGGGAGACAGCGAGAGAGAGAGACACAGAAAAAGAGAGAGAGAGAAAGAGAGAGAGACGGACTGAGACTCTGAGGAAAGGCAGCTTTCACATAAAGCTGAAAATATTCAAGGATACCAGAAATTTCAAGGGGGCTTTGGCAGCCAAGTGCCTTTAGCCTTGCGAATAAAACCTCTATGTTGTTATGTTGTTTCAGGGAAGGCTGACCACGATCTCTCCAAGGAAACCGCTTTCCTAAGCAATGAATGCATGGTAGTTTAAGGCAGGCATACCTCAGTCCCCAAAGCTCCTCTCCTCTGCTAGCAACACCTTTGCCTGAAGAAAGCTCCCACCCTTTCGAGGTTAGTTTCCCTGAACCCCAAAGCATCTATGTTTGCCTGCTCACTGTCCGTTCTTCTGCAGCTGGCTATAAAGGTTGGGGAGGCAGACTCTCCTCCTGGAAATTCAACTAACCATAGTCAAAGAATCGGGTATGCGGGAGGGGCTTGCGCAGCTTTCGCTGTCCAGAGTAGCAGCCTCAGTGCGCTCAGGTTCGCAGCAGCGCAGCGCCCTCGGACCCGGCAAGGGGAGCCTGCTGCGGTGCCCTCCACTCTAACCCCTTGCGCCCCTCCTTCAGGTCCACGACAGCCTGGACAAGGGCAGGCTGTCTCCTCCGCGTCCCCACTGACCCCGCAGGAAAATCTCTGCACCTGGAGATACCCATTAGATGCGCCAGGGCTTGCTCCCCTAACCAAGGCGCTTCGGGATCGCGGGGCTGGTGTTCGGGAAGACGGGGCAGAGAGATGACAGAGGGAGACAGAGATAAGCTGCGAGAAGCAGACACAGAAAGAGAACAAATGTTGCAAAACGGAGAGACAAAAGGAAAGACAGATTAACAGGGACACAGATATCCCAAGAAAGAAAGAGGGAAACAGAATAAGAGAAAAAAACAGATACATGGCCGGAGAGTGTGGACTGAGGGGACCAAGGCTCAGAAAGAGAAACAGAGGCAGAGACACACACGGCGAGAATGAGAGGCAAGAGGACTCTGAAAAAGCGAGGCAAAGGGGGCACTATACGAAGGCAACCGTCGAGGAAGACACCCAAGACCCAGGGAGCGCCTGGTGTCGGGTCGAGTAGAAACGCCCGCAACGCAGCCGGGGCTGCCTGCAGCTGGTGCGAGAAAGTTGTCTGGGCTTGGAGGCCGAGCCACCCCCGCGGAGGAACGTCACCAGAACGCAGAGGGGGCCAGAGCCGCTCCCCCCCCCCCCCCCGCCACCAACAACTCACCGGGGTAGCCAGAAAAGCAGAGCAGAAGGTGGGCGGCGGCAGAAAGTTCCGCGCCACGCGGTCCTCCCGCAACACCTGCAGCCCCGCAAGCGAGCGCACTCGGAGCTCCCGGGAGGCCGCGTCGCCAGGTCCGCCCGCGCCCCTGCCTTTGCCCTGGGACCGGCCCGGGGCGCTCGGCTCCGCGCCCCGGCACTCGCCGCGGGACTTTGCGGCACCTAGCCCCGGCACTCTGGCAGCCCAGAGGGAGCTCGTCCCAGACAATCAAGAGGAAAAGAGGGGAAGCGAGAAAGAGACGGAGACCTGCTATCCTGGCCAACGATCCCGCGAAGAGGGAACGGCGGTCCACACACGGGATTCAGCCTCAGATCAAGCCCAGCAGGCGCCGGCCGGCCGCGCCGAGTGCGGGGCTCGCCGAGTCCGCGCTCACCTGGAACCCGCGCCGGCCCGCGAGCGCCGCGCGCAGCCCCGGCTCCCGCCCGCGCCTCTCTCTTCACACTTGCCCGCGAGCAGAGGGAGCCGGCTCCAGCCTCGGCCAGCCCCAGAGAGGGGCCTTCATAGCGCAGCGGCGGGCTGAAGGGCTCCTCGAGCGCGGCCAGAGCGGACGCTGAGGCCGAGGAGGCGCCCAGAGCGAGCGAGGGCTGCTAGCACGTTGTCACCTCAGCAGAGCCGCCGCCGCCTGGTCACTTCTCCCCGGCCCCCGCCCCCCTCCCACCCCAGCCCGCCGCCTCCCGGTCCCTCCTCCTCGCGTGGTCCCTCCTCCTCTCGTAGCCCCAGCCTGGAGGCCTCTCACTGGGCTAGTATCATTTACGTAACCAGCACCCCCAGCCCTCCTCCCTCCCTGCTCCCGCTCCTCCCCGGGCTGGGGCGGTGCGCACCGAGCGCGCTCCAGCTGCTTCTGGAGCTGGCGCTTCTGCGATGTGCGCAAGTCCCGCGATACTTGGCAGGCACGGCCCCCAAGAGCAACCCTGGGGTCAGCTCCTCTCGCCGGAGGGCGCCTCGCGACCCCTGGCCGCTTTGGGGCCCCACAACGCCAAAGCCGGCCTGCGTGCACCGCGTTCGCCCAATGCACCAGGGAGCCTCTTAGAGGGGAGCTGGAGGATCAGAGACTGCCCTCGGGGAAAGCGCCGGCAACCCCACCCTTGCCGTCGGCTCTCCAGCCGAGAGATGCTGCGGGGTACTTGACGCTTCGGCGCCCTCCGCAGAAAGGACGGAGGTTGGCCTCTTGTTGGTTACAGTATCTACACCCTGGCAGGATCCTAGTGTTCTGGTTGGCGGTGACTACTGCCACCGAACGCACTGTAAGAGTACTGGAAACACAGAGCGCTTCCTTGTGGCTCTCAAATTTTTATGAAGAGGTAAAGAAAAAAGTGGGGCTTTGAATTCCTTTCTCAGGCAAGTAGGTATGATATTAAACACACACCCACTCCGAAGTACCTGGACGTATGAATGTCTCAGTTAATGTGTTGTACCAATACCCCCATGGTACTGAGTTTAAATACATGTAAAGATTTTAGAACAGTGCCTGGCACAAGGCAGAAACCTAAGACGCAGACATTATTAGCGTCTCAAAGACTTGGGACCTGTCCCCCACTGCCATGGGAGAGGAACTTTTCTAGGAAATTGGGATTGCCGAGTTCAAGTGCCTGCTTGGCAATTTATTCACTGTGGCTCTTGGCTAGTTTTGGCCCTTCGGGTGTCAGTTGTCTTGTTTGTAATAAGGGCTGACAGGGGTCCTTGCTTCTCACAGTGTCACTTCACACATCTTATAGGATGTTTTTGGCAGAATTGGGGGAGGATATAACGACTACATAAAAATATTAAACAGCCACGTTTGACAAACATATGATACTATTAATCATAATCTAGTATGTCAATGCCATTCTTGATTATACTCATGAAAGGCAATTTCCAGAGATATTATCTTTATATCTTTTCGTGAGTCAAGTATCATTTAAATTTCTATGTTAATAACTGTATTAATGTCTCCTCCTACATTGTCCATCCTGCCCTACCGTCAATTATGGAGCATTTACCAGAGATGCTTCTGTGCATGTGTGAGTACACAGGGTCCCACTCATAACACTCTGGAATGTCTCTCTACTGCTCTCTCTAGTGAATTCCAGTCCTAACATCAGGTCACTCACCTCTACATGGCATACTGAGAAAAACTGTGGACCAGGTAAAAGATTGGGGTTCTGATGCTGATACAGCTACTTACTAGTCCTATGTTTTTCAAAGACAAATAAGCCCCCATTCTTACATGTTTCATCTCTTAAAAAAAGGCGCAATTCCATTTTGCAGTCTTTGTGATAATATTTAACTTAGGCAGAATCATAAACTTGGTAAAATTTATTTGGGTAATTGGATATTTACGTAGTCCCAAAGTATCACCCTAGAAAGTATTGGCTTTTGGTGCATAACACACCATTCCAAAACTTATTAGCCCCAACCAATAAACATCTGTAATTTCTCAAAGCTCTGTGGGTTGTCAGGTTGGTTTCTGCCCTGGCTAGCTCAGTTTGGTTTAGAGATCTAGGATGGCTTCACTCACTTGTCTGGTGTGGCATACTTATTAGTCTTGAGGGTGTGGGACTCAGCTGCAATGTTTTGTCTTTTGTTTAATCTAGCCCATCATCCTTCAATAGGCTAGCAGTAGTCGTAGTTGCAGGGCTCCAAAAAGCAACAAGGGAGTGCAAGCTCCAATGTGAAGTACTCTGAGATTCTGTGGACGTACATTTGCTGGTGTCTCATTAGCCATGGAAGTTACATGGCCCAAACATAGATAATATAGTCCATGTCTTGATGGGAGAAACTATAATGCCATATTTCAAGGAGAATGCATACACAAAAATAACTTGAGGCTGTTTTTATAATATACTATAGATCCTTAATTACAAACGAATAATAAATTACATGTAGTGGATAAATCTGGTAAACATCACCTTAACCAACTGACCAAGGTTAAAGTCACCAATAATGGGACCAAGTGATATCATGAGCCTCATGATATGATGCACTGAGAAGTACATAACATTATTGATTTAGGATTCCAGATTAAAAAATGCATAATTGAATGCAATCACGAGAAAGCAAAGAAAGCCTTAAATTAAGGAAAATTCTACACAATATCTTGCCTATACTTTTCAAAAATGTCACTGTGATGAAAGTCAAAGAAAAGCTGAGGAAATATTCCAGACTAATGGAGATTTAAAAACCATGACTACTAAATGCAATGTGTAATCCAGAATTGGAGAGCAAACTGGGAATAATATCTATTAATATAAAGAGCATTACTGAGACAATCTAATTCAAAATATTAATAAAAACTATAATATCTAAACTGTATGACTTTTATTTATAATCAAATTAGTTTTATATCAATATTAAGTGTCCTAATTTAATTGTATTGTGATCATATATAAGAAAGCCCTGGATCTTTAAAAAATATAATAAAATATTTTGCAGTAAAAAGAACATAGAGGTTGTAAGGTCCAGAAATACCTATAGAGAGAATGATGATGCAAATGTGGCAACCTTTTATAACACCATTGGTAAATTTTGGTGAGGGGTATGTGTTAATTCTTTGTAGTAATTTTGCAATATTTCTTGAAGTTTAAATACTTTTTTAAAAATCAGGTAGTTATCATTATTTACCTCATAAGAATAATAACCACAATAATTTATCTGAATGAGTGTTGAAAGTTATTAAAAAGTCATATTTTTTCAAACAGAAAGTTTGGCATTTATCTTTAATCAAAGTGGAGCTATTGCAAGTATTTGCTTAGATAAATGGTAAGACCAATACTGTACAATTCTTGGCTATAAGGCCAATACAAGGGCTACCAGGCCAAGAATGTCTATTGGCCAATATAAGGCCAAATGTATAGGGCCTTAGCTACAGAGTATACAAAAGACAGGGATATGAGTTTAGCAGCTACAATTGTCCATTATGTGATTAACCAAGGCGCTCATTCTAAAGGGAAATAAAGGGTGAGATAGTTATGTCTTGCTGAAATTAAATTACCAGGTTTTGGCAAATTATTAGGAATGATGGATAAAGGAAAATGTATTATATAACTTTAAGAGATTAAGATTGGATGAGTAGGATGATGGAGATGCCATTATTAAGGGACACTGAAAGCAATAACTTTATTTTCTAAAATGAAATCTAATAATATTTTCTTCTAATTATAACATTTAAGTGGCTTCTCATTGATTTTAAGAAATTGTCTAAAATCTCTAACATGCCCTATAAGAACCTTTATACTCTGGGGCTCTGCTTACCTCCTTTGTACTTACAATGAGCTAAGCACTGCAATAGGTTTTGAAGACAAAGAGGAAAGTAAAGACAGCCTGCACAAAACTTAGGGTTCAGTCATACATCCCATGAATATACATTGAGCACTTACAGAATGACAGTTATTTACTAGGAACTGGGAATACAGCAGTGAGCTAAGGCTAATGCTCACTGCTATATTCCCAGTGCCTACCAGTGAGAAGAAGAAAATGCCTAGCACTGTCTAGCAGTGAGAAAAAAGATATAGATCCTGCCTTCATGAATACTACATTTTGCTGAGGTATGTCCTAACCCAAAGGTCTGCAACCCCCGAACCACAGACCTATGGCAGTCCATGGCCTGTTAGGAACTGGGCCACACAGAAGGATATGAGGGATGGGTGAGCCAGTGAAGCTTCATCTGTATTTATAGCCACTCCTCATTGCTCACATTACTGCCTGAGCTCCACCTCCTGTAAGATCAGCAGCAGCATTAGATTCTCTTAGGAGTGTGAACCCTATTGTGAACTGCACATGTGAGGGAACTAGGTTGTGCTCCTTATGAGAATCTAATGCCTGATGATCTGTCACTATCTCCCATCACCCCCAGATGGGACCATCTAGTTGCAGGAATACAAGCCGAGGGCTCCCACTGATTCTACATTATGGTGAGTTAGATAATTATTTCATAATATATTTCAATGTAATAATAATAGAAATAAAGTACACAATAAACGTCATGTGCTTAAATCATCCTGAAACCATCCCCTCTCCCAGTCTGTGGAAAAATTGTCTTCCACAAAACTGGTCCCTGGGGCCAAAAATGTTGGGGAGGGCTATCCTAACCAAATAAATAAGTAGGTGTGTATTTACGTCAGGTGATAATAAATTCTAGAAGAAAATTGAAATAGGCTAAGAGTTGAGCTTTTCAACTCATGCACCACAAATAGTTTATAGATATGCCATAACATATCGATCACTACACCCATCAGAAGTAGCCAAGTAGTGTAGCCTCAAGTTGCTAGGGCCCGTAATTAGATAGCCTGGATCATAAGAAACTTGATAAGAGCTTCTTGGAGAATGGCCTGCATGTGCAGTTCAAAGTATAGCCCATTGTGGGTGGGAAAGCAAGGAGGTTGGGCAGAAACTGCTAGTGGGAATAGCTCCAGCTAATAACACAAAGATTTAGCAACATAAAGATTAAGTAATTCTATTTCATATATAGTTGATTTGTTATTTTAGTGGTAACCATGTCAGCTGCAGATTGACTGTTCTTATAATGCACGGGCATTCTTCATATTCAAGCTTTATCATTATGTTGAATAGATTTGATAAAATCCATGGATAGCCACAAAAAAATTTGAATCAATTAATGAAAGAAAAGTAGAGATGATATATTTTAAATAAGATTTTAACTGATGTAAATATTTGGTCATAGAAGCAAATGTTTACAATCTTTCTCACCTATACTTGTGCAGACAAATTTTCTCATCATTTATGATGATAAACCTATTACACAATCATTTAAAATGTCACAATCAGTAAATAATATAGCTACTTCAAGCATAAAATCTTTTGTTAAAATGTTGACTTTATGAAAGCAATATCTCATTAAAAGTTTTAAAGTTTTATTTGTTTTATTTGGAAGTCTTATGATTCAATATATCTTATTATTATAGGTTTTGTAACAATAATTTCATGACATGAAGAAAGTATAATTAGTTTTAAACTAAGCTTTATACTAATACACTCAAATTTGCTCTAGTTTATCTTATTATCCATAAAGCCTTATATCATCTGTCATTTGCACCAAACACAGTGGCAAATTTACATTTTTCCATGACGGTGATTTGTATATATTTTCTCCACTATATAGTAGGATATATGAGAGCAAAAAAAATAGATTTATTTGTTTATAAAGGGAGGTGGTTGTTGTAACTTTATTCAAAGCACAGTGCCTTTCGTACAGTAAATTCCTGTTGAATGGATAAATAAATCCAACCATTTATTTTTTTTTATTATACTTTAAGTTTTAGGGTGCATGTGCACATTGTGCAGGTTAGTTACATATGTATACATGTGCCGTGCTGGTGCGCTGCACCCACTAACTCGTCATCTAGCATTAGGTATATCTCCCAATGCTATCCCTCCCCCCTCCCCCCACCCCACAACAGTCCCCAGAGTGTGATATTCCCCTTCCTGTGTCCATGTGATCTCATTGTTCAATTCCCACCTATGAGTGAGAATATGCGGTGTTTGGTTTTTTGTTCTTGCGATAGTTTACTGAGAATGATGATTTCCAATTTCATCCATGTCCCTACAAAGGACATGAACTCATCATTTTTTATGGCTGCATAGTATTCCATGGTGTATATGTGCCACATTTTCTTAATCCAGTCTATCATTGTTGGACATTTGGGTTGGTTCCAAGTCTTTGCTATTGTGAATAATGCCGCAATAAACATACGTGTGCATGTGTCTTTATAGCAGCATGATTTATAGTCATTTGGGTATATACCCAGTAATGGGATGGCTGGGTCAAATGGTATTTCTAGTTCTAGATCCCTGAGGAATCGCCACACTGACTTCCACAATGGTTGAACTAGTTTACAGTCCCACCAACAGTGTAAAAGTGTTCCTGTTTCTCCACATCCTCTCCAGCACCTGTTGTTTCCTGACTTTTTAATGATCGCCATTCTAACTGGTGTGAGATGGTATCTCATTGTGGTTTTGATTTGCATTTCTCTGATGGCCAGTGATGATGAGCATTTTTTCATGTGTTTTTTGGCTGCATAAATGTCTTCTTTTGAGAAGTGTCTGTTCATGTCCTTCGCCCAGTTTTTGATGGGGTTGTTTGTTTTTTTCTTGTAAATTTGTTTGAGTTCATTGTAGATTCTGGATATTAGCCCTTTGTCAGATGAGTAGGCTGCGAAAATTTTCTCCCATTTTGTAGGTTGCCTGTTCACTCTGATGGTAGTTTCTTTTGCTGTGCAGAAGCTCTTTATTTTAATTAGATCCCATTTGTCAATTTTGGCTTTGGTTGCCATTGCTTTTGGTGTTTTGGACATGAAGTCCTTGCCCATGCCTATGTCCTGAATGGTAATGCCTAGGTTTTCTTCTAGGGTTTTTATGGTTTTAGGTCTAACGTTTAAATCTTTAATCCATCTTGAATTGATTTTTGTATAAGGTGTAAGGAAGGGATCCAGTTTCAGCTTTCTACATATGGCTAGCCAGTTTTCCCAGCACCATTTATTAAATAGGGAATCCTTTCCCCATTACTTGTTTTTCTCAGGTTTGTCAAAGATCAGATAGTTGTAGGTAGGCGGCGTTATTTCTGAGGGCTCTGTTCTGTTCCATTGATCTATATCTCTGTTTTGGTACCAGTACCATGCTGTTTTGGTTACTGTAGCCTTGTAGTATAGTTTGAAGTCAGGTAGCGTGATGCCTCCAGCTTTGTTCTTTTGGCTTAGGATTGACTTGGCGATGCGGGCTCTTTTTTGGTTCCATATGAACTTTAAAGTACTTTTTTCCAATTCTGTGAAGAAAGTCATTGGTAGCTTGATGGGGATGGCATTGAATCTGTAAATTACCTTGGGCAGTATGGCCATTTTCACGATATTGATTCTTCCTACCCATGAGCATGGAATGTTCTTCCATTTGTTTGTATCCTCTTTTATTTCTTTGAGCAGTGGTTTGTAGTTCTTGAAGAGGTCCTTCACATCCCTTGTAAGTTGATTATATATCTAGAAAACCCCAGTGTCTCAGCCCAAAATCTCCTTAAGCTGATAAGCAACTTCAGCAAAGTCTCAGGATACAAAATCAATGTGCAAAAATCACAAGCATTCTTATACACCAACAACACACAAACAGAGAGCCAAATCATGAGTGAACTCCCATTCACAATTGCTTCAAAGAGAATAAAATACCTAAATCCAACCATTTATTGATGAACAGTTAAATCTTTCCTTTAAGACTTTCTGTTTTTGATCTTTCCTTCCCCCCATCAGACCTTTTCTCTCCATGTTTTGAATTCTTGATTGGGCAGTAATCACTCCTGTCAAAGAATTAGGAAAAAACAACTAATTTTCAGCCCACAATGATATTTCAGTACCACGGAGAGCAACAAATCACTGCCAACAAAATTTGTGGTAATGCCAGCCTGACTATGTACGCTATTTAGCATTCATTGACAGAGAAAAGTAACTAAATAGAAAGTAGGAAAATATGGAAAAGACTTATTATACTACTGTCCAGAATTCATAAACAGAGATAAGTAACCAGGCAGAAATCAGGACAATGTGGAAAAGTATTGGCATTCAGTTATGGCAATGTGGATTTGCTGCTTTGTAACTTCCGTGTACTTCTGCAAATCAAAAGGCAGATATGAAGTAAAATGTTAAGTGCCATCAGGAATCAATGTAAGAAGCAATTACACATACACAATCTCTCAAGATTTTTTCACTTACATATACCATATGGTCATACCTCTTTTTGAGCGTGAATCCTAGGAAGGTAGAGACTGTATCATTGCTTCACGGGACTGAGTACAATATCTGGCACATAGTACATAGTTATTATTTCGTTAAATATATATATTAAATTACATAATTATGTCAAGCATGTTTCGATTGCTTATTAAAGCTTATGAATAATTCATTAGAATGGCAAAACTGTTTTCATGTTTAAGTATCTAATACTTCACTATTTAAATTTTAAACATGAATGTTTATCAAAAATAGCTCAATAGATAATACATTTTATTGGTTTTCACTTGGACTTTATTTTAAAGCTGTACTTAAAATATCTCCCTCTTATATGCAGCATTTTCTAGTGTGTCTTAATTAGTTGTTTGAGGCTTTACTCATAATTCCAGCATACTAACTATAACAATTACGTCTTTTATCCAACAGATAGGTTATATCTGACTCACTCTAACTTCCTAAGACAATAATTTTACATTTGTGCATTGATGACTTATAGAGTTAGAGTGAGTCAGATATGGGGAACAAAGAAAAGTATGAAAGCCTCTTTTTAAATTTAAATATTTAAAAGGATTCCAAGAATCATATTGGATTTTCATCATAAGCCTTATTTTGCTTCACCTATCTCATTCAAAGTAATTATTTATATGTAACATAATGTACTAAACAAAACTTAAGTGTACCAGACAAGAAAATTTTAAGTAGACAAACTAATACATTATTCAATTTTAACAGAGAAGAAGTAGAAGGTATTAAGTGGAGTGTCACAAATTTTGGTCCTGCATCCCATCTAAATATCTGGTTACGATATGGATAAAATTCACCTATGTGGCCAAATTGATGTGAAGAGGCAATTTTCTCAACATTAAATGAAAAAAGAATGACTCATCCAGTAGGAACAGTTGACTACCATTAACTATGAAGAATTTGGTGAAACTTAGCTAACTAAATAAAGGGATATTCTTTATTTTAAAATATTAGAAGTTCATATTATAGTACAGATTAAATATAAGCATATAACATATTAGAATTTTTCATTAGCCTAGAATGCGTAACAGTCCATTAATTCAGATGTACGTAGTAATTATCTTACGTATATGAAAAGGAACCATACAAATATATATATGCTATAAAATACATCATATGTATATTTCTTTGGAAAATATAAAGCGTTTTACAAATGTAAGGTATAGTAAAATAAGAATAGTATTAAAATTTAACACATAAAAAAGGAAAAATTGTAAAATATTTAAATGATATGCCTAATTTATGAGTGTTAGGAAAGAAATATTAGGGTGGAATATGTAACACTATTTTGAAGTACTATTGCCTTGAAATAGTCATCAGTATAATCCAAAAGCAATGAAATCTATTAGCCATAAACAACATAGTATTATTCTCTCCATGAAGAATTCCATAAACATGAGAATTCACCCTTCACAATTTATAGTATAGGATATTAAGAGTTACTCAAATTTATAAAGAAATAGAATTGAAAACATTTAAGTGTATTTTTGCTCCAAGATACATGAAACAGTTCTGCAAGATTTTTTTCCAGGCCTTTAGTTATATCAACTTGACTGACACCTTTGTGCTGCTTCTCTGAACAAAAGGTTATTATATAAGCATGTGTGTACGTGTGTGTGAATCTTTAAATTGTAGTACAATTTATTTTTAAGAAGCAAATACCCAGAGCTATCTTTCTAAGTGTGTAATTGCTATAAGATTATTGAATTTGAAAAGTTCACTTTTATAGCCACCTCTCATAAAACATACAATAGGACTAAATATGTCATGTGACACATATGTTGTTATATTATCTTTTGGGATTAGAGTGGTTAAAAGTAAAAACTGAAAATAGTACTTCCTCCCCACCAGTCTGCAAACCACGTGAGCCACCATTAGCTAGATTTTAAAAATTGATATAAGACCTAGTGTCATGGCCTCTAGGCATCCATTAAAGAAAGGAGGCTGGGCACGATGGCTCATGCCTGTAATCCCAGTGCTTTGGGATGCTGAGGCGGACAGATCACCACCTGAGGTCTGGAGTTCATGACCAACCTGGCCAACATGGTGAAACCCTCTACTAAACATCTCTACTAAAATCACAAAAATTAGCTGTGCATGGTGGCAGGCACCTGTAATCCCAGCTACTCAGGAGGCTGAGGCAGGAGAATCGCTTGAATCTAGGAGGCAGAGGTTGCGATGAGCCAGGATCGTATGATTGCACTCCAGCCTGGGCGACAACAGCGAAACTCCTTATCAAAAAAAAAAAAAAAAAAAAAAAAGAAAGAAAGAAAAAGAAAAGAGAAAAAATCAGCTTTTAAAAAGCAGAACTTCTACTTTTATTTTCATCATAAACCATAGAAAATAGTAAATGAACAATTATTCTCATTTTCATTCACCAGTCTACACAAAGTTGTCATTTTATTTGTCTAAATACCACATTCCTTCTCAGGCCAAGGGTCCACAAACTAACTGTAGACTTTAAAACAGACATGGAATAAATATCCAATTCTGCCATTTCACAGCTATATGACATTGGGTATGTACCCTCTGAGAAGTAGTTATTTCGTTGGTAAAATAAGTATACACTACATATAATAATAGATATTTTGAGAATTAAATAATGCAGTTTATGGAGGTTCCCTAGTATATTACCTTGCTTAGACTAGGAACTCAGTAAATGGTAGCTATGTCTAAGTCCTTGCATTTTTAAAAGTCACTGCTGTCATTTCCAAAATATAAAAGAGGCTTAAGTTGGATCCAGGAAGCTTTCATGCTCCTTGCTGTGGGGAAAACTTAGGAATAGCAGTCCAGGTGATCAGAACTCTTTAGATACATATCACTGCTCTCACTGCTTTCTGCCTCCTCAAATCCCTAAACTCAGTAATGATCCTAACTTAGAATCAGAATAAACATTGGTACTATGAGAGCTCCTTCTCCTGCTCCTAGACCTAATTACTACTCCTATCATTTGCATTTGTCCTCTGTGTGAGTATCATACACACGATCATGCATCAGCACACATATGCACACAGATTCCCACTTAAAGTGTAAGCCCCAGGGACTTTTGTCACGTTGGTCATAGAAATATCCCTAATAGATAGAATGGAGTGCCTCCCACTTAGTGAGAGCCCGATAAATAGCATGGGTCATCATATAGTTCTATATTTTTGTCTCCTATATAACCACTTTGTAGTTAGGAAGTGATTGCTTCTCTCTGTGGAGAAGACTGGCTTCCCAACAACCACCTGCTGACCCTTCCATAAGCTTTGCATATGGATAGAAGTCAACTGATTTGGTCCTAAATAGTAAAAGAGGATAGAAGTCAACTGATTTGGTCCTAAATAGTAAAAGAGGATAGAAGTCAACTGATTTGGTCCTAAATAGTAAAAGAGGATAGAAGTCAACTGATTTGGTCCTAAATAGTCAAGCAACTATATCCTCTATCCCTCGATTGTTCTGAACTTTGCTTTGCTCACTAGGGCAAGTACAAGGATGTCCTAAAGTGGCTAATATATGAAAGAGAAGGAAAAGAAGGAACAGGAATAGAAGCATGATCTGTTCGTCAGGACTCAAAGCACTTTGATAGTAACTTCAACATTTTGAAAATTCAGAATTCTTCTTTACAAAGCATTATTTTATCATAATATTTTGCCTTTTGGCAACCCAATTTCCAAAGTTTCAGAACAAAGTACAAAACGTCTGAATAAATTCATGTATTTGAAAGTAACTTACTTTCAATAAATGAATACATGAAAGTAATTGACTTTCAAATTATCTTACTTTATTGAGAAGTGGATTATATAGGACTTCTTTATTCACCTTCAAAAAAATCTACCTTTTAGTGATTGACATTTTTGTTATTAGTACCAATGAAAAGAGGAACCAATTTTATACATGTAAATTATGAATTTCACTTGTGATACACCTTCCTATAAAACTATTTGGGTAGCATTCTCAGCCAATTATTCTGACTATTAATGCTGAATGTATGGTAGTATTTACTACAAGTCTTTGTAAAGTCTTCCATTAAAAAGTATAGAAGTGATAACTTCTAGATTTTTAAGTAAATATGTACTCTTTACATCAAAATTTAGGTGGATATTCCAGTTACATCTAGAAAGTTGTCTCCAATTTGTATTTCATAGCCACCATCTGTGTGGTTCAGGGTGAATACATGTTTTTGCTTTTTTCCTCCTAATATTAAAGAAAAGTTGGACAATGTTATACTTATCTATTTATTTTTCTTATTTGTCTTATTTGTTTCCTCTTTGTCTTTTCTACTAAGGGAAATATTTATGAAACAATTTGTTATATTTTAAGACTCAGGACAGAAAAATGAAAGCCAGCACCAAAGGTATGAAGTAAGTAAGGAGAGAAATCAAGCCAGACCCTGGTTTGAGATTCATTGGTTTATGAAGAAAAGACTTAGCATAAAGAGCAGTCAAAAGGGTTAGGAACAGTATTCTCGTAACAGAATTGATTCCAGTTAAAAATCTGTAGATACAGATTGTGTGTATGAGTATCTTCACGTGTTAGAAAACAAAACAAAATTAATCCAACATTAGAAAATTAGGATATTTATTAGGATACTATATATTTGGTTTCTCTTAAAATTAGATCTAGAAAAATTGAACCTACTTTGCCAAATGCAAAAGAAGCTAACCGGACCAAGAGGCCATCATTTCTCACATGGATTATTCTACAGTAGTACACCCTCTTCCCAGGGAAGAAGTTCCAAGACCTCCAATGGTTGCGTGAAACTGCAGCTAGTACTTAACCTTATGCCATATAAAAACCCATGAACTTGGCCAGACATGTGGCTCATGCCTGTAATCCCAGCACTTTAGGAGGCCAAGGCGGGCAGATCACCTGAGGCCAGGAGTGTGAGACCAGCCTGGCCAATATGGCGAAATCCCATCTCTACTAAAAAATACAAAAATTAGTTGGGCATGGTGGCAGGCACCTGTAATCCCATCTACTAGGGAGGCTGAGGCAGGAGAATTGCTTGAACCCAGGAGGCGGAGGTTGCAGTGAGCCGAGATCAGGCCACAGTACTCCAGCCTGGGCAACAAAGCGAGGCTGTGTCTCAAAAAATAATAACAATAATCATAAATAAATAAAAAAACCTATAAACTAGGTTTTTTCTATACAGGCATACCAATGATAAGGTTTAATTTCTAAATTAAGAACATTAAGTGATTAACAACAGAAACTGATAATTAAATAGAGCAATTGTGACAATACACTGAAATAAAAGTTATATAAATATGATCTCTCTCTCTCAGAATGGTCTTATTTTACTGAACTCACCTACTTTTGGACTGCAGTGAACCAGAGGTAACTGAAAGCATGTGCAACTGAAACCAAAAATAAGAGGGGACTACTGTAATCACCTTCTGTTTCTCTCCCTGCGCTCCTTGAATCTATTATTAAACCCAAGTTAGATCTTATTACCACTCTGCTTAAAACCCTGAACACCTCCACATCTTAGTCTGAGTAAATATCAGAGTCCTTTCAGTGGCCTATCTCTGACCCTTTCTTACTCTGCTTCAATCACACTGGCCTCCATGCTAGTTATCAAATCATTGGGGCCTACTTGGGCCTTAGGGCCTTTGCATTTTCTGTCCCCTCTTCCTATGATGCACTTATCCCATATAGTTGCTCTTCATTCAAGACTTGACTTTAATGTCATCTTCTCAGTAAAAACTAACCACTTAATTTAAGATCACCTAATTTATACCTTGATACACCTATCTCTCTTTCCTAGTTGATTTTCCTCCGTGGTTATTACCTCCTATAGATTTTACTTATATATCCTATTTATTCTCTGTGTTCCCTCCTATTATAGAGGCAGTTTTAAATTAACATAATAGATCTTCATGTATTTCACTTCTTACTACATATCCTGCTCTAAGACTCATACCTGGCACATAAGTCTTACTCTGAAAGTTGGTCTCAATGAATAAGTTATGGGCATGATTATTTTCCCCATTTGGCTAATGAGGAAACTGGAAGCAAGAGTTATATAGTTTGCTCAGGATCACATACCTAAAAAAATTAAAATCCTGTATTTAAACACTGGCAGTCCAACATCAGTTCTCAATCCTTTAATCACCAAGTTTCAGATATATCAAGAAGAGGTATGTGATTTTCAAGAAAAAGTTTTAAAAAATATATATGTGGAAGTGCAGAATATTCCTATGTGAATAAATATGCAAAGATTTTTCTATAACTCGTCTGACCTCTGTAAAAACAAAAGATCATGACCTTTGATCTAAGTGGTTAAAGCAGAAATGAAATCAATGATTTTTTACGAATGCTTTGGCCCTGTTGCTTCTCTCACAGCTGCCTACTTGGTTCTCCTGCCCCATTTTCCCTGGATTTGGGTTAGATTATGTGATACAGATTTTTTTTTGAAATTACAGTGACTTTCATTATTCCCTTCCTTAAAACATGAATTAACTTATGTCTTGAAGTATAACATAAATAGAGAAAAGTTCACAAATCATAGGTGCATAAATCCTTGTATCAGTGGTACGCTGGTAAATATATAACAACCACCTCCTCCACTGGAAAAGAAAAACACACTGCATTGAAAAAACTCAATTTTCACAGGGTGAATACTCCCAATATGGCTAATTTCAAATTACCAAGTTGACATCGATCAGCCTGCAAAATTTGAAAACTTAACAATCCTTACACATTGATGCAAGCTGGCTATAGCATATCACTAAAAACCAAGTCCCACCATAAAATTCCCTTCAGTTTCCCAAAGGTAACCAGTATCCCAATTTCTAACACCTATTTTGAACTTAATATAAAGGAATTATTCACACTCCTTTGCATATACCTTTTTTTGCCCAATTCTGTGTTCATGCGATATATCCATATGTTGCAGTAGTTCATTTTCAGTGCAGTATACTATCCCATACAGTTCTATAACTTATAGATCCACGTTAGAGTTGACAATCATTTGGATTGTTTCTAGTATTGGTTATTATCAATGATATTGTTATAAAAATTCTTATACTTGTCCTTAGTTTAACACATGTACTCATTTATGTGGTGTAGATTCCTAGGAAAAGAACTGCCCAATCAAAGGATAAATCAACTTCATTAGAAACTGTCAACAATTGTTCAAATGTAATTGTATAAATTTTCCCTATTGTTCAGAGTGTATGGAAATTCTAGTTTCTCCATATCTTCACCTAGACAAGAAATTTTGTCTTTTCAGATTTTATGCATTCAGTTCGGATTTACCTCATTTTGATTTCAATTTGCATTTTCCTGACGAGTGGTGAGATTGAGCATATTTTCACATGCTTATTGAAACATTTGGATAATCTCTTTGGTGAAATGGTCATTCAAACCTTAGATCCACGTTTTAATGTTGGTTGTTTGCAGTTTTTTATATATTCTGAATACTAGACCTTTATTGATCACGTGTGTTAAAAATATCTTCCACTCTGGGTCTTGTATTTTAATGTTCTTAATGGAAATCCTTAATGAACAGAAGTTTCCCACTTTAAAACAACTATCTATCTATTTACCTGCCTACCTACCAGTCATCTGTATTTCTAGCTACCTATCACAGCTTTATTGAGATACAATTTATAACACTTACAACTCACCCATTTAAACTGTATAGCAAAATAGTTTTTAATATATTCAAAGAGCTGTGTAACCATCACCACAACTATGTCTAGAACATTTTCATCACCCCCAAATAAATTCCATATTCATCTGTAATCCCTCCCTATATCCTCCATGCCTCACAAGGCTTAGACAACCACAAATATTTTTTCTGTCTCTACATATTTGCCTATTCTGCACTTACCACATAAATGGAATCATAACACTGTGCGATCATTTGTGAGATTTCTTTAATATAATGTTTTCAAGGTTCATCCACATTGTGCTATGCATCAGCACTTATTCCTTTTTATAGATTAAAAATATTTAATCAGATAAACATACCACATTTTATTCATCCATTCAACATTTAGGTTATTTTCACTGTTTTTGTTATTATGAAAAATGCTGCTACGAACATTCACTTGTAAGTATTTGTGTGGATGTATGTCTTCATTTTTCTTGTGTATATACCTAGGAGTGAAATTGCTGGGTTATATGGTAACTTCATTTAACATTTTTAGGAATTGCCAGACTAATTTTCAAAGCAGCTGTGTCATTTTATAGTCCCACCAGCAATGTATGAGGTTTACAATTTCTCTACATCCTGGACAATACTTATGATGTCCTTTTGATTATAGCCATCCTAATGGGTGAAAAGTGGTGTCTCATTGTGGCTTTGATGTGCATTTCTCTGATGACTAATGTTGAGCATTTGAGCATTTTTCCATGTGCTTATTGACATTTGCAATCTTCTTTGGAGAAATGCCTAGCCAGGTAATTTGCCCATTTTTGTTGTTGTTTTGTTTTTTCCTTGTCCATTTTTCATCAGATTACTTTTCATTATTCAATTATAAAAGTTCTCAATTCTTTGTTTTATGTTTAATGCATTAGGTGTCCATTTAAGGAATATTTTCCCTACCTATAGGTTATAAATATGTTCTCCCATGTTACATTTCTAGAAGGATTACTTATTTACCTTTGACACTTGAATCTGTAATAAGTTACAATTAATTTTTGTGTATGGTGTGTGTTAAAATTAACTTTTTCCACATGAATATTTAATTATTTCAGCAGCATTATTAGGAAACTATTCTATTTCTTGCTGTTCCACATTTCCAACTTTGTCACAAATCTAGTAAGCATATACAAGTAGGCTTGTTTGTGAAATCTTTATCATTTATATACATGTAGGCTTGTTTATATACACGTTGGCTCATTTATGGAATTTATATCATTACAATATCAACTTTCTATGCTTGCTACAATATCACATTGTCAAAATTAATGTAGAATGATAATGTTTTTGTTTCTGTAATGGAAGTTGTTCATTTCTCTTCCTTTCCAAAATTGAACTGATTATTTTGGCCCTTTGCATTTATGTATACATTTTAGAGGCAGCGTGTTAGTTTCCACCAAAAAATTTGCTTGATTTTATTTATATTGAAACCATAAATTAATTTGTGGAGAGTTGATATCTTTAAAATATTGACTCTTTTAACATAACATAGTATATGTTTCCATTTATTATGTTTCCTTGCCTTATTTTAATTATATTTGAAGTTGCCTTTGAAAAGGTGTCTTATATTTTTTGTTACATTCTGATAAATTTTTGGGGTTTTTTTGAGGCAGAGTTTTGCTCTTGTTCCCCAAGCTGGACTGCAATGGTGCGATCTCAGCTCACTGCAACCTCCACCTCCCGGGTTCAAGTGATTCTCCTGCCTCAGCCTCCCTACTAGCTGGGATTACAGGTGTGCACCCCCACGCCTGGCTAATTTTTTGTATTTTTAGTAGAAACGGGGTTTCACCATGTTAGCCAGGCTGGTCTTGAACTCCTGACCTCAGGTGATCTGCCCACCTCAGCCTCCCAAAGTGCTGGGATTACAGGCATGAGCCACTGCACCCGGCCTGATTTTTTAATAATATAAATTATATTTTTTATATAAAATATCTTAATTATTTCGGATTTATAGAAAGATTTGCTTTCTATATATGAACTTTTGTATCTGGCAACATTGTATCTAGCAACGTATCTCTAATAGTTTGTATGTGGTTACTTTGGGTTTTTTAGGTTCTTAATTATGTTATTAGCAATAATTACAATTGTGTTTCTTTACAACGCTTACATTTTATAGTTATATTGAGGTATAATTAACATACTATGGACTTCACAGATTTAAGGTATATAACTTGATGAATCTGGCATATGTATATACCTATGGGCTGACGGATGGTAAATTCTGTGGGGTGATGGATGGATATGTTCATTATTCCAATTCATCAGCCCACAAAATTTCCTCATGCGTTTTCATAATTCCTCTCTTATAACTCTTTTTCTAACCCTATTTACATTCCTAGGAAACCATTATTCTGCTTCCTGTCACTAGAACTGTATGTTCTAGAATTTTATATAATTGAATCACACAGTGTATATTATATTTATATAATTGTATAATTATATTATACAATTGTATAATACAATTGTAATATATAATTATATGATATTATGCAATTGTATAATTATATTTATATAATTGAATCACACAGTGTATATTACTTTTGTCCAACCTATTTTACTCAGCATAATTTTTTTGAGATTCACCCATGTTGTTGCATGTATCTATGTTTCTATGCATGTTCATTTCTTTTAATTTCTTGGAGATATTCCATCATCTCTATTTCTAGCTAGCTAGCTATCTAATCCATACATTCAGCTATATAATTTATATGACAATTTATTTATTCACGTGTTGCTGGATACTTGATTTGTTTCCAGTTTTTGACTATTATAAATAAGGGTGCTATTAACACTTGTGTGCAAGTGTGGTGGTTAATATTGAGGGTTGACTTGATCTGATTGAAGGATACAAAGTATTGTTTCTGGGTGTGTCTGTGAGGGTGTTGCCAAAGGAGATTAACATTTGAGTCAGTGGGCTGGGAGACACAGACCCA